>NC_000012.12:116551037-116702552 GCF_000001405.40 Homo sapiens | reverse complement strand
GCTACTCGGGAGGTTGAGGCAGGAGAATCGCTTGAACCTGGGAGGTGGAGGTTGCAGTGAGCAGAGATTATGCCACTGCAGTCCAGCCTGGGTGAAAAGAGTGAATCTCCATCTGAAAATAATAATAATAATAATAATAATAATAATAATAATAATAATAATGGAATGATAGACTAGCTAGGGAGTGAAATCATCAGTACCCAGGATACCATCTTATGCTCAGGAGATATTTTAATAAGTATTTAGTGAATGAATCAAAAAGATCAATCATTCTGTATGTTGACTTTTTTGTTTTTTTTTTTTTGAGACAGGGTCTCATTCCTTCACCCAGGCTGGAGTGCAGTGGTGCGATCACGGCTCACTGCAGCCTCAACCTCCCAAGGTTCAAGTGATCCTCCTGCCTCAGCCCCCCAAGTAGCTGGGACTACAGGCACAAACCACCATGCCCAGCTAATATTTGTATTTTTAGCAGAGACAGGATTTCGCTATGTTGGCCAGGCTGGTCTCGAACTCCTGGACTTAAACAATCCCCCCGCCTCGGCCTCCCAAAATGCTGGGATTACAGGCGTGAGCCACCATGCCCGGCCTTGACTTTTGACTCACTTTTCTTTTTACCATACCCAGCTGCTTTATCCTGCCCTAAATGCCTCAGTCGTTTCAATAAATATTTGTAACACTGTTCAATGAGAGCATGTGTTTATAACTTTTCTTTCAGTCTTTAACAAAAGGCACAAAAATGTGATTTTCTAAAATGTACGGAAAAATGTGTACACAAATATTTACAACAGCACTATTCCAGTAGCCACAAGGTAGAAATAGCCCAGATGTTCATCAGCAGAGGAATATTTAAACAAAATGTGGTCTACCCATGCAGTGGAATATTATTCAACCATAAACAAAATGTGGTCTACCCAAACAGTGGAATATTACTCAGCCACAAAAAGGAAGGAAGTGCTGATCCATGCTACAACATGGATGAAACTCGGCAGCCTGATGCTAAATCCTAAACAAGAAGCTAGTCACAAAGGCCACATCATCTATGATTCCACTTAACGAGAAATGGCAAATCGGAATATAGGCACATCTGTAGAGACAGAAAGTAGATTAGTGGTTGCTTGGGGCTGAAGGGACTGGGGGAAATGGGGAGTGATGGCTAATTGATATGGGATTTCTTTCAGGGAGGTAATGAAAATATTCTAGAATTGATTGTGAGAATGGCTGTGCAACTCTGAATATACTAAGAAATATACGAAGATGGCCAGGGGCGGTGGCTCATGCCTGTAATCCCAGCACTTTGGGAGGCTGATGTGGGAGGATCACTTGAGCCCAGGAGTTTGAGACCAGTCTGGGCAGCATAGTGAGACCCCAGCTCTTCAACGAAAAAAGCAAAGGAAAGAAACATACTAAGAATACACTTGTATGTGTGGCATGGGAGAATGGAACCCAGCACAGAGAGCTGAGTGGGCTTGAGCAGACAGACCTGGGCTTCCATCCAACTCTGCCCCTTACACGTGGCATAATTTTAAACCAATTCTAAACCCTTCTGAAGCTGGGAATTTTTATTTGTAAAATTGCCAAGATGCATCGTAATACCCTCCCCCACAGGTTTTTAGGGGGGATTAAAAAGATAACATATGTAGGCTGGGTGTGGTGGCTCACGCCTGTATTCCCAGTAACTTTGGGAGGCCGAGGCAGGCAGATCACTTGAGGTCAGGCGTTTGAGACCAGCCTGGCCAACATGACAAAACCCTGTCTCTCCTAAAAATACAAAAAAATCAGCTGGGCGTGTTGGTGCACGCCTGTAGTCTCAGCTACTCGGGAGGCTGAGGTGTGAGAATCGCTTGAACATGGGAAGCAGAGGTTGCAGTAAGCCGAGATCATGCCACTGCACTCCAGTCTGGGCAAGAGAGTTAGACTCAGTATAAAAAAAAAAAAAAGAAAAAAAAAGAAAAAAAAAGATAATATCTGTAAAGTTTTTTGCCCACACTGTGTACAACAGAAATTTGTTTCAGTCTCTCTTCTAAACCAAGAAGCTATGATTTGGTAACCCTCAGACTAGCAAAAATGCTTTCTACTGAGTCCTTTTGCTCTCAGAATCTTCTAGTGGGCAATGTGGCTGAGTGAGCCCAAAAACATAGCGGGATTTGAACTAAGCTAAAATCCCTATTTAGATGTCCTCTGTAAGTTAGATTCCACGCAAGCCTATTTTGTCCTGCACTGCAAGATCCTAATCCAGCACATGGCCATTCATGAGTCAGTGGGACACGCACACTAGCCTGGAACTAATTCCGTGATGGCAGTGGCTGCTATGGCTGTAGGGAGGGTGTCTCCCCATCTCTGTCTGGTTATCCCCACCCCTGCCTTCACCAACTCATTCTTGAAGGCCCCGATTTGCAGAGTGGCCTTATTGCGGGGGTGTCTCTGGGGGTGTACCACCTGCAGGGTTTTTCCTGCACCCTTTGAAAGGAGTTTCTCCTGGATGAATGAGGATTCTTCAAGCTACTTCACATAAACAATGCAGCAGATAAAGGTTTGCCTTCAGATAAGGATGTGCTAAGGAAGATGGGGGAGAAGGTAAGGGGTATCTAGAAATGTCTCCGCCAACCTTGAAGGTAAAAGTCACATTGGTCCTGCCTTCAGACACCCCAGGACCCAGATGAAATTAATTACATCCCCACCCCTGATCCCTGGCCTCTCATTCCCCAGTTGTAGGCATCCAGGTGACCATGAGCTCCATCCATGGAGAACTGAAGGGTCCTCGAACTATCCAGAAGGCAGGACTCAAAAAAGGGGAATGAATTCCCCAAGACGGAATCTCCAAACGGGGTGGTGGCGGCTGGAGAAGGGGAAATGTTTTGGACGAACTGCAGCAGAAGGCTGACCTTGCAATCCTTAGGAAAACGGAGTAAAATGGGAGAAAGATTCTATTGGGTTTTGTTTTGAGACGGAGTCTCACTCTGTTGCCAGGCTGGAGTGCAGTGGTGCGATCTTGGCTCACTGTAACCTCTGCCTCCTAGGTTCAAGTGATTTTCCTGCCTCAGCCTCCCAAGTAGCTGGGATTACAGACATGTGTCACCACGCCTGGCTAACTCTTATATTTTTAGTAGAGACGGGGTTTCACCATGTTGGCCAGGCTGGTCTCGAACTCCTGACCTCAGGTGATCCACCCGCCTCAGCCTCCCAAAGTGCTGGGATTACAGGTGTGAGCCACTGTGCCCGGCCTCTATTGGGTTTTGACATTGTCAAATTATCTTCTATACTGAGAGATTAAATTCAAATTCCCTTTCCTTGAATAACCTTTCTAATGGGCCGGGCATGGTGGCTCATGCCTGTAATCCCTGCACTTCGGGAGGCCGAGATGGGAGGATTGCTTGAGGCCAGGAGTTCATGATAAGCCTGGTTAACATAGAGAGGCCCTATCTCTATCTAAAGAAAAAAAATCCTTTCTACTGACCAGAGACACTTCTTTGGAGACCTTCATTTGGGGCCTAGACACTTAATAACAGTAATGACACCATGGGAAAAGAGCTGTCCAATCAACAACTGGGAATGGGGTAGTTTGGCCTGCAGAGCGGGAAAATCATAGGCAGATGCAACAGACCGCTGAATGCAGAGGTCTGCAAACTGTTTTCATAAAGGGCCAGACAGTAAAAATATTTCCAGCTTTCTAGGCCTTATACTTTCTCTAGCAGTCACTTAACCCTGCTGTTTTAGCTTGAGAGTAGCCAGAAACAATATGTAAACCAATGAGCATGGCTGTATTCCAATAAAACTTTAAAGAAAGGTCAAGGGCTGGATTTAGCCCTTGGGCCATAGTTTGCCAACCCCTGGCTTAGCAGACCAGCCTCAATTGCTCAAACTCCTTTCCCTGTGTTGTTCTTTATTTTAGAGGCTAAGTGCTAGAAAAGCTGGAATCTTCTTCTAAATGCTCCTAAATGCAGGTTGCAGAAAAACCATGAAAGGCCACCTTCAGAGAAGGACATTGACCAAGTAGAAGCAACAGGAATTTGGATTTCTATCCGTACAACAGATGCTCAGAAATGACAATTGTATGCTCTTCCCATTGTCCCTCAATGGAAGGCTGGGTGTTTTAATTAGCTAATGTTGGCAAATTGCTTTGAAGAAAATTGTAAAATGTTTCATCCTACAAGTGCCAAGAGTCTTAATTAGCTTTCCTTAAAGATACCACCTGGAAATGTGATATTGTGTTGCTTGAGGTCCAAGCGTGCAAGAATAACCTGCAGATGAAAAACCGGTTTTTAAGCAAACATCACCGAATAAATGGATCTCTGCATCGACGTCACATTTTCTTCCTCCGGCTGAATCTGATTCCCAGCAGCTGGGGTATTAAACCCCACAAATGGAGGTTGTGGTGGTGGTGGTGGTGGTTTTATTCTGCGAGAGCCTGGTGACAACGGGGGCATGAAACAAATTAACCCATCTATTTGTTGCCGCCGCCGTTGCCTTTAGGATTTTTAGCCTGTGCACTGGAGGCCCGGCTCTGGCGTGTCAAGGTTACAGAGAAGAGGAGGCTGGCAGCCACTCAATCATACAGCAGGGCTGGCTCTCAGATAACCCGGTCGGGGAGAGATGTGTGCATGCTCTGTCGCTCTTAACAGCTGGATAATGAATTTGCACTCCAACACTCTTGTTTCTTGTGGTGGCAGCCACGACAGCAGCAGCATCTGATCTGTGTCACTGTCAGAAGCAAGTGAGATGTAGTTAATATGGACCTTAGCCACTGAGATGCATTGATTTGGAATCTCTGGCCTCTGACAAAGTCCCCGCTAAGTTGGTGGGGCCAGGCCCCGTGTGAGAGGAGGTGGCAGGGTTTAGGGGGAATCAGGGGTCAGGATTCCTCAGTCTTGGCACTAGTGACATTCGGGGCTGGGTGACTGTGGTGGGGGCTGTCCTGGGCACTGCAGGACGTTCAGCAGCATCCCTGACCTCTCCACCCCCTAGATGCCGGTAGGAGCCAGCATCCCCAGCTATGACAACCCCGAATGTCTCCAGACATGGCCTAGTCTCCAGTGTCCTCTGGGGGGCACAATCGCCACTAGTTGAGAGCCACTGGCTTAGGGTTAGAAGCAGGGCTTGGAGTCCCTTTTGTCAAGGACACACCTGGAGCAGGGACCTCATGGAAAGTCAGCTCCAAGGTGGCTCTTGATTTCTGTCTCGCACCCTCAACTAATCCCTCAGCAAATCCCTTCTAGAAGCTACAGCCTGGATGGCGCAGTCTTTTTTTTTTTTTTTTTTTTTTTTTTGAGACAGAGTCTTGCTCTGTCATCCAGGCTGGAATGCAGTGGCATGATCTCGGCTCCCTGCTCCCTCCACCTCCCGGGTTCAAGTGATTCTCCTGCCTCAGCCTCCTGAGCAGCTGGGATTACAGGCACCTGCCACCACGCCCAGCTAATTTTTGTATTTTTAGTAGAGACAGGGTTTCAGAATGTTGGCCAGGCTGGTCTCGATCTCCTGACCTCAAGTGATTCGCCCGCCTTGGCCTCCCAAAGTGCTGGGATTACAGGCGTGAGCCATTGCGCCCGGTCCTGGATGACACATTCTGATCCAGACCACACCTTACCACCCTGGGGCTCCTCTTCCCCTTCCAGCCCCTACATTTCTTGCCTAGGTGACCCAGCATCCTCCCACCTAGTCCCCAGCTCCTCTCGGCTCCTCCTAGGCTGTTCTCCTTGCAGCAGCCAAAGGAACCCTTTGGAAGCTTAAGTGAGAGCATCTCTGGCCCTGCTGGGACCCCCAGGCTCCATCACACTTAGGCTGAAACCCCCAGATCTCTCCCTCGAGGCGTGCATGCTCCCACCTGCAGTGAGGGCGCCTCCTCCAACCCCATCCCCTCTGCCTGAGACCTTCCGTCCACAGACATCCTTCATCTGCTCTGGGTCCTTGCTCAAGTGTCCCTCACCGGAGGCCTTCCCTGACCCCTGCCTTGAACAGCAGTCCTCTGTCTTCCCTAGCCCAGGAGTTATCAGCCTGGGCACCAGTGACATTTAGGTCTGGATAATTCTTTGTTGCGGGGGCTGCCCTGTGTGTTGAAGGGTGTTTAGCAGCCCCCCTGGCCCCTACATTCCAGCACCTCCCTCCCCAGATGATGACAACCAAAAGTATCTCTAGACATTTCGAGATGTTCCCTGGGGGGCAACATCGCCCTGATTGAAAACCACTGCTCTATTCCTCCCGCTTTCGTTTCCCTCACGGCACTCTCTGATATCCTGATATCCTCCCGGTTTGGTTGTTTGCTTGTCTTGCTCCCTGGAATGCAAGCTTTGCAAAAGCAGGGACTTAGGTTTGATTCTTGCTCTATCTCCAGGGCTTGAACTAGAGCTTGGCACATTGTAGGTGCTCAATAAATGTGTTGTGTTGAAGGCATGAACTTCGTACTTTTGAACAACCAGGGGAGGTGATGGGGTCATGGAGTTGGGGCAAGACTGGCCTACAGAATGTGCTTTGCTGGTTATAGATGTCTGCTTTCTGCGAGTTCTTACAAATACAGAGAAAATTTCAGGAAACCTCCAGGAAACCTCATCCAGGAACTGCTCTAAGAAATGCTCTGGGGCTGGACACAGTGGCTTACGCCTGTAATCCCAGCACTTTGAGAAGCCGAGGCGGGTAGATCACTTGAGGTCAGGGGTTCAAGACCAGTCTGGCCAAAATGGGGAAACCCCATTTCTACTAAAAATATAAAATATTAGCCAGGCATGGTGGTGTGTGCCTATAATCCCAGGTACTCGGGAGGCTGAGGCAGGAGAATCACTTGAACCCGGGAGGCGTAGGTTGCAGTGAGCTGAGATCGAGCCACTGCACTCCAGCCTCCAGCCTGGGCAACAGAGAGAGACTCTGTCCCGCCCCCACCACCCCCCCCCCAAAAAAAAAAGAAAGAAAGAAAGAAAGAAAGAAGGAAATGCTTTGGGCACAGGTCTGGGGCAGAGCCCAGCAAGCAGTGTTTTTAACAGGTGCCCGGATGTGTCTGCAGCTCACACTTGGAGAAACACTAGCCTCTGTTAGGAGTTAACTGTCCCTTGGGTGCAAGCATTTGCAAACGGAAGGATAGGGTGGTCAGGAGATTCAGAGAACATTCTAACTTTTGTTTGTGGATGCATTGATGATTTCCTCTGTGGCTAGAGATGGCACCTGGAATCTGGTTATGTAGCAATTTTTCCGCCTTTCCTTTCTTCTCTTCTCTCAGCATGGCTAAGACACCCAAATGGTCAGCTGTGGTTCAGTGCCGAGTCCTACTGACCCAGGCACGTGCATTGGTGTTCCAGGCGAGCTGGGCATGCACAACCGCGTCTTCCTCCTGCCAGCCCTGCTGTTTTAGCTCTTCGGCACTTGCCTGCTATCTCTGCTCTCTGTAGTCAGGGTGCAGTCCCGAAAGGTTTAGTGATTAGGAGAAACTTACTTCCAATTGAGGTTCTTCCAACAGCTCTGTGACGTCGGGCAAATTACTTAACATCTCTCAAACTCAGTTTGCTGATCTATAAAATGGAGATGACACCTTGCCCTCCCTTTTGCCATGAGGATTAAATTAAATGAGCAGAGTCCTCCTCCCGGGCTATCCACTCTGAGCACCGAGGAGTTGCTACCATTATTTCCTCCTTATCAGGGGCCCTCATTTAACCCACTCGGCCCTTGCCAAGGGTCACCTGCCTCCTCCTCCCTCTTCCTCTCCCGTCCTGCTCCCCCACCTCTTCTGTGTCATCCGTCCCCACCAGCGAGCAGCCCCCCTCTCCTGACGATCCTCCCCTCGCCCTCCCCTCGCAGCATGCGGATCTCATCACTGTGATTACACCGTGTTAGCCACAGTGATTGTTCTATGCCTTGGCACCTCATTACTGAAATAAAGTTAACATTAATGGGAGTCCTGCAGCTAATCCCTCCGCTCACCTCTCCTGAAAATGCATTCCGGTGATTAGCAGGAGAGACACATGCATATATTCATTTTAAAACTGTTCCCCTCCTCCCACCCTCCCTTCGCTTCTACCCACAGACACTGGGAGATGGAGGCCAGGGGGTCTTTTAGCTGCCAACGGGCTGAGGACGGAGACGGGGAAACCATCCCGAACAGGGACTCGGCAGGGCCTGGGGAGCAGCCAACTACCCCCCCAGAAAAAGAAACATATCCGTTTCCTTTAGGTGGGGTGCAAGTAAAAACAAAACCAACTAGCAAAACACATAGGCCCTGGAGTGGGACAGATGAGGGTGTTGCGGGGAGGGGGGCAGTGTGGTCCTAGCCCTGCCACTTACTAACTAGGACACTTTGGTGAAATTGTCCTAACCTTGCTGATCTCCAGTTTCCACCTCCGATGAAGGGGGATGCTAACTCACATCTTAAGTTCCAGTGCCCTGGGATGAACGTGTCAGATTCAGATGTGGGAGATCCCAGCCCCACGACTCCAGCACTTGCACGGTTCGCTTCCCTCCCCTGGCCTATGGAACTGGGCGTCAGCTGTGTCCATGGGGTCCCTCTCAGCCCTCCCCACTCCCAGTGCCGGGATGTCCCCTCTCCTCTTCCGTTCCAGAGCGGGCGATGCCATCCCATGCACAATACAATGAAACTAATTGCTTGGTGGTGCATTCTCCTTTATAAGAACTACTAGCCCCCAGGGACTCTGCAAACCTGCCCGCTTGCCGATCTGCAGACAAATAAATGATCCTCCCCCAGGACTCAGGAGACGGGCTCCCGGGTCTGCTCAGGTAACCCGCGGCACTCCTTTGGTGCATTTTTCCCCGTCCTGATTAAAAGTGGGGGCAGGTGACCCCCGTGCGACTCCCACTGGCGGCAGCCAAGAAACGGGAGCCGGAGAACAGCAGAGGGAGGCGTGGGACCCTGTGTAATGAGATTCGCAGACGCCGTTCCTCACCCTCCGTGTCAAGGAGACATTTTCAAAAAGGTTTGACACAGCATCCTCGAAGATCCCTTTGCCAAAACACAAGGTGGAGGCCCCTGGAGTACTTTAAGCCGGCTTCTGTTAACAGAGCAGTCCGTATGCATATTATAATCACGCCGCTCCAATGCCCCGTTAAGCAGCTGTTCCCACAAAGAGGGACAATAGTCCAACCCCACCCCTTTTAGAGCTGATTTCAGTCTTGTCTTTGCTGGTGCCAATTCTTTGATCAGTTTTCACTTAGGATCTGGAGGGCATGTTACAAAGTGCTTTGGGCTGTCTGCCAACAGGCACCTCACTGGCACATGACAACAGCCCAGAAGTGTCAGTGCTGGGAGAGAGACAGAGCTCGCGGGATGCCTTTTAAAAAATAATTATATTTGAATTTTAAAAGCAATCTTCATATATGTAAGTAGCTTCATTTATATGGAAAACTATGCTGGTTCCTCTACCCTTTTAATATTTGATGTCGCATCAGCTTCCTTCACAGTTGGGATAAGCGGTCCGTGGCTTCTTGGGGACTTTTTGGACTCCTGGGTTAAGAAAAAACAATGAGAGGGCTAGAGACTATTATTTCTTTCCCATTTCTCCTCCATTCCCCTTCCTCCTGCACCTCAACTGGATGCTTTGTTGCTAGATCGATTGTAGAAGATCTGGAAGGGCAAGGTGGGGAATTGGGAGTTGAAAAATAACTTTTGTTTGTCGGTGGTGGTAACTATCATTTATTTTATTTTTTGATTGTGGTAAAATACACACAAGATTTGCAATTTTCCTTCCTTCTTTCTCTTTCTTTCGTTCTTTCTTTCATTTTTGACAGGGTTTCACTCTGTCACCCAGGCTAGAGTGCAGTGTTGCAATCTCAGCTCACTGCAGCCTCAACTTCAAGGCTCGAGTGATCCTCACCTCAGCCTCCAGAGTAGCTGGGACTACAGGCATGCAACACCATGCCCAGCTAATTTTTGTATTTTTATATATTCTTTTTTAAGACATGGGTTCCCCCTCTGTTGCCCAGGCTGCTCTCAAACTCCTGAGCTCAAGCAATCCTCATGCCTTGGCCTCCCAAAGTGCTGGGATTACAGGTGTGAGCCACTGCACCTGGCAAGATTTGCCATTTTCAATGCCCAAAAAGATTATGTCAGCTAATGTGTACACCTAAAAGTGGTGTGCAGTTGAGTGACATCGTGTGCATAGACACTGTTGTGCAGCCATCACCACCATCTATCTCCAGAACTTTTGCACCACCCCAAACTGAAATTCTTTGTGTGTGTGTGTGCGTGCGTGTGTGTGTCAGAGTCTCACTCTGTCACCCAGGCTGGAGTGCAGTGGTGCAATCTCGGCTCACTGCAACCTTTGCCTCCTGGGTTCAAGCGATTCTCCTGTCTCAGCCTCCCAAGTAGCTGAGATTACAGGCATGCACACCACACCCAGCTAATTTTTGTTATTTTTAGTAGAGACAGAGTTTCACTATATTGGCCAGGCTGGTCTTGAACTCCTGGCCTCAAGTGATCCACCAGCTTCGGCCTCCCAAAGTGCTGGGATTAAAGGCTTGAGCTACCATGCCCAGCCCCCAAACTGAAATTCTATAGCACCCATTAAACAGTAACCTCATCTCCCACTCCCTCCAGCTCCTGGCAGCCACCATTCTACTTCCTGTCTCTATGATTTTGACCGTACGACAGGCCTCATCTAAATGAGACCCTCATTTTGTGTCTGACTTCTTTCACTTGGTATCATGTCCTCAAAGGACATTCATCCACGTTGCAGCATGTGTCAAAACCTCCTTCCTTTCTAAGGCTGAATAATATTCCATATACATATGGACCACATTTTGCTGATTCATCATCCATCTTTGGACATTCGAGTTGTCTACCATTTATTGAGTCTTACAGGTTGCCAGCCAGCCATGTTAGATGTTTATCTACTTACAGACATCTAATTTAATTCTCACCAGTGTCATTTTATGGTTGAGAAAAAAGAGATGATCCTTGCTTGAAGTAAACTGCTATTGACTGGTAGAGCTGAGATTTGCTTTTAGGGATGTCTGACCCTAAAACTATGGTTCTCCAATGTCAGCGTGTTCCAGAATTGCCTAGAAGATTCTGTTAAAAAGAAAGGCTGTGTCTGACCTATTCTGATTCAGAAGGTATGGAATGGGACCCAGGAATCTGTATTTTTTATTTTTGTGGAGACTGGGTCTTGCTATGTTGCCCAGGCCGGTCTCAGACTCCTGGCCTCAAGTGATCTTCCCACCTCTGCCTCCCAAAATGCTGGGATTATAGGCGTGAGCCACTGCGCCCGGTCGGGATCTGTATAACAAGCTCCCGAATCCAATATAGGTTATCAGAGAAGCAGACCTTGCTAAATATGCTCTAAAGTTTAGGGATTTGACTGCTATGTTATATGACCTCATTCTTAAGGTTGTTGGAGGCAGCTCTTCAAAGAGCATTTCAAGATAAACAAAAATGTTCCAGGTAAAGGAAGAGTTGGGAGAGACTTATACAGGGAATCCATAAAGAGCTCATACACGGGAGAGTGTATGAAGGCCCACAGTTTGGGCTGCATGTGCGACTGAACTTTTTTTTTTTTTTTTTTTGAGATGGAGTCTCACTCTGTCACTCAGGCTGGAGTGCAGTGATGCGATCTCAGCTCACTGCAACCTCTGCCTCCCGGGTTCAAGCGATTCTTCTGCCTCAGCCTCCCGAGTAGCTGGGATTACAGGCATGCGCCACCACACCTAATTTTTTTGTATTTTTAGTAGAGATGGGGTTTCACCATGTTGGCCAGGCTGGTCTCAAACTCCTGACCTCAGGTGATCAGCCTGCCTTGACCTCCCAAAGTGCTGAGATTACAGGTGTGAGCCACTGTGCCCGGCTTCGATTGCACTTCTCAACGGCCCAAGCAAAGACTGAAATAGGATCAGCCACAAAATGTATGCCATTTGTGACATAAAACATACCAGCAGAGGCACAGCTAATCCATGCATTTTGATCTGAGGGCTCCTAATTGAGAAGACCCTGTGCTGTCATGGAAACAGTCACCAGCACTCCTGAGCCAATACCATAGGACTCCCATAGGTCTATTTCTTCAGGGTGAGCCAAAGTTCGATGCCAAAGAACGGTTCAGTAAAGACAGACCTGGGGGAAACAGTGCTGAACTGCTTCAAGCTCACTTTTCTGCAGGGCGTGATACAGTCCTGTGCCTCCCCTGGCTCAGTCTCTCTGCTTTGTCTAGTTTGTCTCCCTTGCAGATCCCCCTACCCCCAAGAGAGGAACACAGTGGGGGGCTTTGGCTTTAATGACTACGATGCTTGTGTTTAAAGTTTGCAAAGCCCCCAGTCTCCAACCACTGGCCAGTATGGCCCTTCTTCCTTCGGTATGCAAGAAAAGCCGCTGTCTGGTTGAGTGAGCTCTGCTATAAATCAAAGTGTCACCACTTAGCCAGTAGAAGTGATTTAATTAATCCGTTGTGCTGTCCCCTGAGCATCACTCCACCTGACTGCTAATCAACTTCCATCAGCAGGAGGAAAATACAGGCCCCCTTTTTCTGAACTGCATTGCATAAGATGAAGGAGGAGAGGGAGGGGGAGAAAAAGTTAATTGCAGTGAGGGAGCTCAAACTGTCACAAGAAGAAAGTCTCTTGTCTGGCATCTGCAGGCTGCCTCTTTATACACGGTCGTCCTCGTCTCGGGTGAACTGCAGGAGAGGACCACTTTTTAGTAATATTAATATAGACATTATCTATTGTCCATATCTATTTATCAGAAATAATGTCTTGCCTGGAAACCCATGACAGCTGGCATATTGCAAAAAAGGAACTGTTCTTTTATCATGCACCCGGTATTTAGACCTTAAAAAACCACACGCAACCTTCACTGATAATCAGATAGGACTTAGAGTTTATATATCTATCTCTCGGGCACAGGAACATTTTTTGACAGATGGCCACCCCAATTTCTGTCATATTCAGGCAAAACCAACGCATGCCATTTCCCTGCAATGTAATTAGGCAGGTCTGGTTAACGCTAGAGTGCTTTGAAGGTGAAATTAGCTAGTGGTGATGAGGACTCCTAGTCTAGGGTACTTGAAAGCTTAAGAGCCTTAAGTTTCCTTGAATCTTTTCACAAATGGTAGATAGCCTGGCTCCATTTTACAGATAGGAGAAACTGAGGCAAACAAAGACAAGGGAAAATTTTCCAGGAAGTTGCAGAGCTGGAACAGGTGTTCTGAAACTGGGATTCATTCTTTGTTGTGGGGAAGCAGGACTGCACAAGATTCTGGTTTTGTTTGTCTTAGAGACGGGGTCTGGCTTCGTTGCTCAGGCTGGAGTACGGTGGCATGATCTTAACTCACTGCAGCCTCGAACTCCTGGCCTCGAGTGATCCTCCTGACTCAGACTCCCAAAGTGCTGGGACTACAGATGCATGTCACTGTGCCTGGCTAATTTTTTAAATTCTTTGTAGAGATAGGGTCTCACCATGTTGCCCAGGCATGTCTTGAACTCCTGACCTGAAGCAATCCTCCTGCCTTGACTTCCCAAAGTGCTGGAGTTACAGGCCTGAGCCACTGTGCCCGGCCCCAAGATTCTGTTTTAAAGCAGGGGCTTATTCAGAATTGTATTCTTTTCTGATTACTGAGCACTTATACTGAAAAGTAAACTTGTAGAAAGGCTCTTTAGTAGTATGAAGACCGGAAAATCTTTTATCTGACCCAAAATATGACATCATGCATCGATTATACACAAACTTTGTTTTTTATTTCCCCACCAGGGGATACCCACCCACCCCACCCCACCACCGCCTGCTTCTGTGGGTGAGCCACACCTCTTTAAAGATGTGGGAGCAGCCAGACACCGTGGCTGACGCCTGTAATCCCAGCACTTAGTGAGGCCGAGAAAGAAAGATCACCTGACGTCGGGGGTTCGAGACCAGCCTGACCAACATGGAGAAACCTCATCTCTACTAAAAATATAAATTTAGCCAGGCGTGGTGGTGCATGCCTGTAATCCCAGGTACTCAGGAGGTTGAGGCAGGAGAATTGCTTGCACCCAGGAGGCAGAGGTTTCGGTGAGCCAAGATAATGCCATTGCACTCCAGCCTGTGCAACAAGAGACTCTGTCTCAAATAAAAAAAAAAAAAAAAAAAGATGTGGGAGCAGCGCAGAAACACTCTTTCAGCACACATGTACTTGGGATCAGAGAGCCTCTGCCCTACTGCAGGTGACGGCCATTCCTTTGAGAGGAAAGAGCTCTGGATCCTCATTCTGCGAACGTCCACACCCGCCGCATGCCAAGCACTGCCTCATTTTGTGCCTTATGACCGCTGGGCCACCCCTAGAATCCTGGTTGAGTACAGAGTGAATGACATAGTCCTCCATTGTGATGAGGTCGAAATCTGATCAAAATGGACATTTAGGGCAGCCTTCGAGAGAAAGAGGTGTCCGGAGAGAGGAGATAGCCCCTAAAGCTGCTGCATGGGTCTGAGCTGAGGAGGTGTGTGTGGTCCGCCCAACACCAGGGGGCACTGCCACTTCCTCCCCTGCTTTTGCACGTGCTTTCCCTAGGAGCAGAGGCCACGCGGATGCAGCTGGCTTCCCCTGCACTGAGTCTCCTGGGCACCAGAGGGAGGGCGCTCCTTCCCTGCAGAAGGGAAATCCTGCCCCTGTCTCTTGCCGCTCCAGGGAGTAGCCTAAAAGGGCTAAGATTGGAGCCACTTAGAGCGGGGTGGAATTCTAACTGTGCTACAGGCCACGTTTCTCTGTGTGTGGCCCTCCCTGGCCTCAGTTCCCTTATCTGCAAAATAGGAATGCCCATCTCCCAGAATGGACATCAGGATGAAATGAGATGATATCAATGCTCCCAGCACAGTGCTAGGCATGTAGGATGTAGGAGCTGCTAATTAAATACAGTTTCCTTCTTGCCATTCTCTTTTTGTTTTTGAGACAAGGTCTTGTTCTGTCACCCAGGCTGGAGTGCAGTGGCACGATCACAGCTCACTGCAGCCTGGACCTCCCGGGCTCACGCCATCCTCCCACCTCACCCTTCCAAGGAGATGGGACCACAGGAGCGCGCCACCACGCCCTGCTAGTTTTTGTATTTTTTTTGTAGAGATGAGGGTCTCCACCATGTTGCTCAGGCTAGCCTCAAACTCCTGAGCTCAAATGATCCTCCTGCTTTAGCCTCCCAAAGTGCTGGGATTACAGGCGTGAGCCACCATGCCCAGCCTTTCTTACCCTTTCCTTCCTTTGCTCTCTTATTCTTTCATTTCTTTCCACAGCTCCATAACCTATACTATAAAATGCTCAATTCGACAGTGGGGACCCAGATCCCAGAGTCATGCAAAGATCCAAAGGCTACCATGCCTCCCTCCCTCCGTCTGAGCCCAGGGTGCTGGGACCCCCTCCATCCCCACCCACCCAGCTGGCTGTTCCAGACATCATGGAACAGTTGTCTCCACATGCACCTCCCATTTCAAGGGTTTCCACCATGGCTGTAAAACCTACTCCAGGCTGACGCTGGGCCTTCCGGGTCCAGCCAGGGAGACGTTTGTCTGTCTCTAGCCACAATCTAGAAACATGTTTTGATGTTTTCCCAGTCGCAGACAGGAAGAGAACAAGGTTGATATTTCTCTGTGTTGGTGCTATAGTACAACTGTAACTGGAAAGTAAAATGGTACGCCTTGCCTCTCCATTTTGTCATAACCATTCCATTTGAAAGAGAAGGCAACGTTATTGTGCCCAGGGGTTACATTGTATGTAAACACGTATGCATTAAATGGGAGTCTTGTATGTGAGAAATGGCAAAGTATTATGGAAACCAACAGCAAAGGTCTGTGTAACTTTCTTTTAGACAAAAGACCAGCCACTTGGAGTTGGCAGCAGCCCTTTTCTGCTTCCTTGGATTGGAAGCATATTTTGTTTTTCTCAGTGAATCTCCTTCTCATGATGAAAATGATAAAGTTGGTGCCCAGAGGTTCACTGAGGATAGTTAAGCAAATGTATTTGTTCAAAAAACATTTGTTGGCCGGGCATGGTGGCTCACACCTGTAATCCCAGCACTTTGGAAGGCCGAGGCAGGTGAATCACTTGAGGCCAGGAGTTTAAGACCAGCCTGGCTAACATGATGAAACCCTGGCTCTACTAAAAATATAAAAATTAGCTGGGCGTGGTGGCACATGCCTGTAGTTCCAGCTACTTGGGAGGCTGAGGTGGGAGGATCTCTTGAACTTGGGAGGTGGAGGTTGCAGTAAGCTGAGATTGTGCAACTGCATTCCAGCCTGGGCAACAGAGTGAGAATCTGTCTCAAAAAAAAAAGAAAAAGAAAAAGAAAAAATCCAAAAAACATTTGTTGAGCATCTACTCTGCCTGGATCTGTACTACGTGATAAATAAGACATAGCCCTTGCAGACTTTCCAGTCTAGAGGAAGCAGGTTGACATTTAACATAACTAGAGTCAACGTGATGATTGTCACCATGAACAAATGAATTAATACTATGGGAATACAAAAGGGAGGGGTGTCAGGGAAGGTTTCATGAGAAGTTTTCTGATAGAAGAGGAAGAAGGAGGTTAGTACAGGGTAGAAGGAACAGGTTTTTTGAAGACCAGAAGAGGTAAAAATAAGAAACGCAGAGCCATCCAGTAGCATCATTTGATTATTATATGAAATATATGCTAAGCAATATGTTTCCTTCCTTCCTTCCTACCTTTCTTCCTTCTCTCCCTCCCCCCCTCCCTCCCTCTCTCTCTCCTTCCTCCCTTCCTTAAATTGAGACAGAGTGTCACTCTGTTCCTCAGGCTGGAGTGCAGTGGCATGATCTCAGCTCATTGCAACCTCCGCCTCCCAGGTTCAAGCGATTCTCCTGCCTCAGCCTCCTGAGTAGCTGGGAGTATAGGCGTGCGCCACCACGCCTGGCTAATTTTTGTGTTTTTTCAGTAGAGACAGGGTTTCAACATGTTGGCCAGGCTGATCTTAAACTCCTGGCCTCAGGTGATCCGCCCGCCTCGGCCTCCCAAAGTGCTGGGATTATAGGCATGAGCCACCACACCTGGCCAATTTTTAATTTTATCTATTTTTGAACAGTTAGTACGTGCATATGGTTTAACACTCAAAAGGGTTTAACAGTGAAAAATCTCTCTTCCCTGCTGACCCTGGCCACTGATTTCTCCTCCAGTGACACCATTTTCTTGTGTTTATGCAAAGGGAGTTATACATATGCAAACGAATACTTGCAGGTATTATTTCTCTTTTTCCTGTAAGTACAAGAGCTATATAGCATGCTGTATACACCTGTCTCTCATGTTCCTTTGCTTTGTGAAACAAACGTTTAAACTCCAATATTTAGATAGTTCCTACTAGATGTCTTAGTCCATTCTCTGTTGCTTATAAAAGAATACCTGAAACTGGGTAATTTATAAAGAAAACACATTTATTTCTTACCCTTCCAGAGGCTGAGAAGTCCAAGGTCAAGGGGCTGCAACAGGTGAGGGCCGTTTTCTAGAGGGGATGCTCTATAGAGTCCACAGGTGGTGGAGGGCTTCACCTAGTGAGGGTGCTGACTGTGCCAGCTCAGGTCTCTCTTCCTCTTTTTACAAGGCCACCAGCCCCAATCCCATGACAACCCATTAATCCACTAACCCATGAATGGATTAATCCATTTTGATTGGGTCAGAGTCCTCATGACCCAATCACGTCTTAAAGGCCTCAACTCCCAGTACTGCCACATTAAGGGATTTAATTTCAACGTGAGTTTTGGAGGGGACAGATATTCAAACTATAGCACTAGGTATCAGAAGCTTTTAAAACTGCTTCCCATGCATCATCCCACTGAATCCTATGATACCAGGCACTATGGTTTCCCACTTCATGGGGAAGGAAACTGAGGCACACAGAGACCTTGAGTGACTTTCCCAAGTTTATTCAGTTGGTAAATTAGCCCTGACCTCGTGCTGGAACTGAAATAAGGCAAAGGAAGGGATGCTCAGTCCAGCAGAGCTTGCTGGGGTTCACCAAGTGCAAACACTTCCATTATTCTCTTTATTCTAGAAACTTCTTAAAATAGCTCCTAGAGGTAGGGATGATGATGGGGAAAGCATGGCTCAGATGTGCTGAAGGTCCCAAAGCCACCCGTATCAAGTCAGTGGCAGGGTTGGGAAGAAGAGTTCATTGCACACAATGAAACAATTACCAAGCAACTACCATGTTTCTGGGTCTGCAAAAAGCACTGGGAAGACGGAGAGAAATACAATGTACCTCTCTTCTTAGATGGACTAATCAGGACTAGTCTGTTTTTTTTGCATATCAGTATTTCTTGGAGATCTTTCCATATCAGTACATATAGCCTTCTTCATTCTTTTTTTTCTTTTTGACAGAGTCTCATTCTGTTGCCAGGCTGGAGTGCAGTGGTGTGATCACGGCTCACTGCAACCTCCACCTCCCGGGTTCAAGCAATTCTCCTGCCTCAGCCTCCCAAGTAGCTGGGACTACAGGAGTGCACCACCACGCCCAGCTAATTTTTGTATTTTTAGTAGAGACGGGGGTTCACCATGTTGGCCAGGATGATCTCGATCTCCTGACCTCGTGATCCACACACCTCGGCCTCCCAAAGTGCTGGGACTGCAGGCGTGAGCCACCATACCTGGCCCTTCATTCTTTTACATGGCAGAAATTTCATGTTAGTTACTTCATCATTTGCTTACCGATGGATATTCAGGCTGTGTGTGCCCTCCTACAAATAGAGCTGCTGTCAAAACATCCTTGTATGTACGTCTTGGAGTGCTTGAGCAAACGTTTATCTGTAGAACGAACTCCTAGAAGTGGACTGGCTGGTCATGGGGTACACATACTTTGAATTTTGGTAGATATTGCTAAATTGCATTCCAAACAACAGCACCAATTTACACTCCCCCAAGAATGCATGAAAAGTGTTCATCCCCAATTTTCCCCTCCCCGGGCCTCATCAACCTGTTTCATCTTTGCCAACCTGACTGCTGAAAAATTAGCTCAATTAAATTCCCATGCATTATGAGCACATTATTTCATGGGTTTATTGGCCATTTATATTTCTTTTATGAACTGCTTTTTTGTGTCCTTTGTACATTTCATGTTTCGGCTTTGTCTTATTCACAGAGATATATAAGAGCTCTTTGGACACTAAAGAAATGCATTACAAAGATTTTTCCCATTTACAGTTTGTCTTTGTAATTTTTTTCACCATATAGAGGACTTTCATTTTTATGTAGTTGGAAATATTAATTTTTTCTTTATGGGTTTTGGGTTCATGTTTGCCTTTGCCTCTCCACGATTATATATATTTTTAATGACCCATTTTTTTTTCTTCTCAGCCTTTTTATGGCTTTCATTTTTAAATTGAACTCTAAGCATTTGAAATTTATTTTGGTGAAAGGAGTGGTATAGGGGCCTGGCTTAATTTTTTGGCTTTGAGGGGAGCCTCTTTAGATTCCCTTGTACCTGGCTTCACCTGACTCGGGGGTGGGGGGCGGGGAATCTCGAAGGGAGAGCCAGTGTCACAGCAAGCTGGGGCCTCCACCTGCAGAAGCTACCAGAACCCAGACAGCAAACCCTTCTGGGCTGGTTCTACTGGAGACATGGTGCACAACAGGGCCAGTCCTTTCTAAGCCAAGCACAGAGACCCTCTAAGGAGAGATTGGTACATTGTATTTCCCTCTATCTTCCCAGTGCTTCTTGCAGAACCAGAATCATAGTTACTTGGTAATTGTTGCATTGTATGCAATGAAATCATTCTTCCCAACCCTGCCACTGACTTGATACAGGTGGCTTTGGGACCTTCACACATCTAAGCCACGCTTTCTCCATCATCATACCTACCTGTGGGGACTGTTTTAAGAAGTTTCTAGAATACAGAGAATAATGGATGTGTTGGCACTTGGTGAACCCCAGCGAGCTCTGCAGTTGGAAAGTTTGAACAACTGGCTGTCCCTTTGCTCCTATGAACACGTCTCAGTTGTGTGCGGCCATTAACGTTTTAGTGGCTTTAAAGCAGAACAAACTTTTGAAATATCTTCTGGTCAGTAAAGTAATTAAGTTGTAAGAATTACAATTTATCTCCTTGTGGGACACAGAGGGTTTTTTTTTTCTTTTTAAATTTTTAATGAGAAAAGACAGCTTCTAAACATTTTTTTTTTCTGAATGAGTTCTTATAAAAAGTAATATTGTTCATCACTATCTCCAAATCCCGCCCGCCTCGGCCTCCCAACATCCTGGGATTACAGGCGTGAGCCACTGCGCCCGGCCAAAATATTCCTTTTCTTTACAACAAATATACCTTCTCCATTTGTCTGGAGGCTTGCTCAACTAGATGTTCTCACATTTGGTGGAGGCCTAGCTGCAAAATATGCTTCTCCACCATTAGTAAAACGATGTGAATGGTGAATGACAGCTGAGCCTGGCTTCAGAACCAGGGAGAGAGTGATTGCTCCACCTCAGAGGGCAACTACTCATGGAACTAGAGCTCCTACACTTGCAAGAGAAAGAAGAAATCAAGATTTTTGTTTATAATTTTTTAAATGTTGGATAAAATAATTTTAAAATATATTGGCCCAACACAGCATGCCTGTGGGGGTGAATTGGGCCCCAGAGCCCCTAGTTTGCAGTCTCTGCGTGTGGACCATCTTATAAAAGGTCATACAGACCGGGGGCGGTGGCTCACACCTGTAATTCCAACACTTTGGGGAGCCAAGGCAGGAGGATCACCTGAAATCAGGAGTTGGAGACCAGTCTAGCCAACATGGTGAAACCCCATCTCTACTAAAAATACAAACATTAGCTGGGTGTGGTGGCGTGCACCTGTAGTCCCAGCTACTCGGGAGGCTGAGGCAGGAGAATCGCTTGAACCAGGGAGGCGGAGGCTGCAGTGAGCTGAGATGGCGCCACTGCACTCCAGCCTGGGTGCAGAGTGAGACTCCGTCTCAACAATAAATAAATAAATAAATAAATAAATAAATAAATAAATGGCATACATGCAAATTAACATGCATTGCAAAGTTATCACATCAAAGGTATTGCCTAGCTAAGCAATTTTACTTTTTCAAATAAAGTATTGCATCATCACAAATTCCACCATTCCAACTCACAGGCTGCCGTGATCTCTCCATGCAAAGCTGCCTTTTAGGAAAAGGTAACACAAAGTGTAGAGCATGAACTGTATCACATACTGTTAAGATATGCAGAGTTTGCAGTCTAGAAGCTATTAAATCATGTCAATTGATTTTTTTTTTTTTGAGACAGGATCTCCCTCTGCCACACAGGTTGGAGTACAGTGGCACAATCGTGGCTCACTGCAGCCTCAAACTCCCAGACTCAAGCGATCTTCCCAGCCTCCCAAGTAGCTGGAATTACAGGTGTACGCCATCATGCTTGGCTAATTTTTAAAATTTTTTGTAGAGACGGGGTCTCACTATGTTGCCCAGGCTGGTCTCGAACTCCTGGACTCAAATGATCCTCCTGCCTTGGCCTCCCAAAGTGCTGAGATTACAGGCATGAGTCACTGAATCCAGCTTGTCCATTTATTTTTTAAAAACCAATTTATTGAGGTATGGCTGGCATACAAAAAATGTATATATTTAATGTATGCAACTTGATGAGTTTGGAAATAAGTGTACACCTGTGAAACCACCACCACAATCAGTGCTATAAACATATTTGTCACCTCCAAAAGTTTCCTCCAGCCCTCTATAATATTATTATTATTTGGTGGTAAGAACACTAAACATAAGATCTTAGCAAATGTTTAAGTATAAAATGTAATATTATAAACTATAGGCACCACGCTGTACAGTAGGTCTCTACGACTTATTCATCTTGGATAACTGAAACTCTACCTTTGGACCAACATCTCCCCATTCTCCTTCCTCCCTCTAGCTCCTGGCAATGATTATCAAAATGAGTTTGACTATTTTAGGTTGCTTGTATAAGAGAGATAATGTAGTACTTGGTCTTCTGTGCCTGGTTCATTTCATTTAGCATTATGTCCTCTGTGTTCATCCATCTTGTTGCAAATGGCAGGATTTCCCTCTTTTTCAAGGCAGAATAACAATCCATTATATGTCTATACCACATTATCTTTACCCGTTCATCTATGGATGGACACTTATGTTGCTTCTATGTCTTGGCCATTGTGAATAATACTGCAGCATGCATGAGAGTGCAGATATCTCTTCAGTATCCTGATTTCAGTTCCTTTGGATGTATACCCAGAAGTGGAATATCACTTTATGCCTGTTAGAATGGCTATTACTAAAATAAATAAATAAATAAATAAATAAGAATTGATGAGGATGTGGAGAAAAGGGAACTCTTGTACACTGTAGGTGGAAATATAAATTGCTGTGGCCACTATGGAAAACACTATGGAGGTTCCTCCAAACATTAAAACTAGAACTACCATATGATGTTAATTGCTTTGTTTGACAAGGCTGGGAAGACAATCCAATGGGGGAAAATAGTGTTTTCAACAAACTGTACTGGGACAACTGGATAGCCACATGTAAAGAATGAATTTGGATTCCTACCTCAGACCATACACAGAAACAAATAAAATACCTAAATGTAAGAACTAAAACTGTAAAAATCAAAAAAACACTTAGAAGAAAACAGGAGGCTGGGGGTGGTGGCTCACGTCTGTAATCCCAGTGCTTTGGGAGGTCGTGGCAGAAGGATCACTTGAGGCTAGGAGTTTGAGACTAGCCTGGGCAACATAGCTGACCCTGTCTCTACAGAAAAACAATTTTTTAAAATTAGTGGGCAAGGTGGTGTGTGTCTGTAGTTCCGGCTACTTGGGAGGTTGAGGCAAGAGGATCACTTGAGCCCAGGAGCTTGAGGCTGCAGTGAGCTATGAACCAGACCCTGTCTCTAAAAAAATAAAGTAACAAAAAACAACACAGGAGTAAATCTTCATGACCTTGAATTAGGCAATGAATTCTTAGATACAACACCAAAAACACAAGTCAGATAATAAAACATAAATTGGATGACTTAAAAATAAGAAACCTTTGTGTTGCAAATGACACCATCAAGAAAGTGAAAGATAACTCACAGAATGGAAGAAAGTGTTTGTGAATCAGCCGGGTGTGGTGCCTCATGCCTGTAATCCCAGCACTTTGGGAGGCCAAGGTGGGTGGATTGCCTGAGCTCAGGAGTTCAAGACCAGCCTGGGCAACATAGTGAAACCTCATCCCTACAAAAAATACAAAAAAAATTAGCTGGGTGTGGTGGCACACACCTGTAGTCCCAGCTCCTTGAGGGGCAGAGGTGGGAGGACCACTTGAGCCCAGGAGGTTGAGGCTGCAGTGAGCCGAGCCAAGACTGTGCCACTGCACTTCCAGCCTGGGTGACAGAGTGAGACCCTGTCTCAGAAAAAAAAAAGAAAAGAAAAGAAAAAGAAAATCATGAGTCATATATCTGATCCAGGAATTGTATCCAGAATAAATAAAGAACATTTACAACTCAATAATTGAAAGACAACCCAATTACAAAATTAGCAAAAGATTTGAATAGACATATCTCCAAAGAAGATCTACAAAAGGCAATAAGCACATGAAGATATGTTCATCATTCACCATTAGGGAAATGCAAATGAAATCCACAATGAGACCACTTCACACACACTGGGATGGCTGTAATAAAAAAGATAGACTAGAACAAGTGTTGGCAAGGATGTGGAGAAACTGAACCCTTCAACATTGCTGGTGAGCACATAAAATAGTGTATCCCCTTTGGCAAACAATCTGGCATTTCTTTAGAAAGTTAAAGTAAGAAGAAGGGGAACGAAGAGAGGTTGATTAATGAGTACAAAGATATACTTAGAAGAAATAAGATCTGGCGTTCAATATAGTAGTAGGGTGACTATAGTCAAATAAATCAATTGCACATTTCAAAATAGCTAGAAGAGAATAATTCAAAGGTTCCTAGTATAAAGAAAAGATAAATAGACTGGGTGCAGTGGCTCATGCCTGTAATCCCAGCACTTTGGGAGGCCGAGGTGGGCAGATCACTTAAGCTCAGGAGTTTGAGACCAGCCTGGCCAACATGGTGAAACCCCCATCTCTACTAAAAATACAAAAATGAGTCAGGCCTGATGGTGGGCACCTGTAATCCCAGCTACTTAGAAGGCTGAGGCACGAGAATTGCTTGAATCCGGGAGGTGGAGGTTGCAGTGAACCGAGATTGTGCCACTGCACTCCAGCCTGGGCAACAGAGTAAGACTCTGTCTTAAAAATAATAATAATAAAAAGAGATAATTATTTAAGGTGATGGACATCCCAATTACCCTGATTTGATTATATGGTTGTATCAAATTATCACAGGTACCCTCAAAATATGTACGTCTTATATGTATGGAAAGAAAAAGGAAAGAAAGAAAGAAAGAAAAAGAAAAGTCAAGCCAGTGAATGGATAAACAAAACATGGCATATCCATACAATGGAATAATAGTTGGCAATAAAAAAAGTAGCAATAGCAAAGACATGGAATCAACCCAGGTGCCCATCAATGGTGGGCTGGATAAAGAAAATGTGGTACATAGGCACCATGGAACACTACACAGCCATAAAAGGAAAAAAATCATGTCTTTTACAGCAACATGGATGCAGCTAGAAACCATTCTTCTAAGCAAACTAACACAGAAACAGAAAATCAAATACTGCATGTTCTCACTTGTAAGGGGGAGCTAAGCTTTGGGTACACATAGTCATAAAAACGGGAATGACAGACACTGGGGAATACAAGAGGAGGGAGGATGGGAAGGGAGTAAGGTTGAAAACAACCTACCTATTGGATACTATGCTCACTACTGGGGGTGAGGGATCCATTCATACTTCCAACCTCAGTATCACGTCATATACCTTTGTAACAAACCTGCACGTGTACCCCTGATTCTAAAATAAAAGTCAAAAAGAGAAAAAAATAAAGAAAATGAATAAAGTATATGGTACTGATTCATGCTACAGCGTGGATGAGCCCTGAAAACATTACGCTAAGCGAAAGAAGCCATTGCCAAAGACCACATATTGCATGACTATTTATATGAAATACACAGACTAGGCAAAGGCACAGAGGCAGAAAATGGTTACCAGGGGGTGGAAGAAAGGGGAACTTGGGACTAACTGCTATTGGTATGGGGTTTTTGGGGTTTTTTTTTTTTTGGGAGGGGGGGTTCTTTTAGAGGAGAAAAAGCTGCTCTAAAATTAGATTGTGGTGATGGTTGCACAGCTCTGTGAATACTCCAAAAGCCCTTGAATAGCATGCATTGCATGGTATATGAATTATATCTCAAAATGCTGTTTAAAGAGAAAGATTACACAGTTCTCATGCTTTCGTGATCTTGGCCACATGTAGAGACAGTATCCGTTGGTGTCATCCTTGAACACAAAGGACAGTGATGTAAGTGCTAATAATTATGACCTGTTAAATGCATAAGCAATTGGTAGTCATAGTCAGTTCAGATTTCCAATATTGGATTACTATATCTTTATCGTATCATTTACTACTGTAATATGATATTCTACATCCACAGCCAGCACTATAAACAGTGATGTTAATTTTAGGTCTGTGAGGGCAGGGGAATTTTAAGAGTGCCAGAGCCTCTTCCCATAATCTGCCTAGTTCCGACAAAGGGAAACGCTGGCTACTGTCCCTCTAAGCTGAAGTCAAATGTGAACCCAAAGGACTTTGGCATGCAGCCACCAGTCCATCCTGTTTGCTACCAGTTCGGGGTTTTGTGTGTGTGTGTGTCGTTAAGTTTTCTCCTTGGCTGTCAGTCAAGCCTCTTCTGTGGTTTTTTTTGGTTGTTGTTGTTGTTTTGTTTTTTGGGTTTTTTTTTTTGAGATGGGGTCATGCTCTGTTGTCCAGCTGGTCTCAAACTCCTGACCTCAGGTGATCCGCCTGCCTCAGCCTCCCAAAGTATTGGGATTACAGGCGTGAGCCACTGCATACGGCCAAAATTCCATCAATTTTTTTTTCTTTTGAGTCAAGTCTCGCTCTGTTGCCTCAGCTGTAATGCAGTGGTGCAATCATAACTCACTGCAGCCTTGAACTGGTGGCCTCAAGCAATCCTTCTGTCTCAGCCTCCTGAATAGCTGGGACTATAGGCATGAGCCTTTTTTTTGGGAGGGAAGGGGGTGGATGGGGTCTTGCTCTGTTGCCCAGGCTGGAGTGCAGTGGCACGATCTTGGCTCACTGCAACCTCTGCCTCTTGGGTTCCAGCAATTCTCCTGCCTTAGCCTCCCGAGTAGCTGGTATTACAAGCACACACCACCACGTACAGCTAATTTTTGTATTTTTAATAGAGATGGGGTTTCACCATGTTGACCAGGCTGGTCTTGAACTCCTGACCTCAAGTGATCTGCCTACCTTAGCTTTCCAAAGTGCTGGGATTACAGGCATGAGCCACTGCACCCAGCCCTCTTCTTTATAGTCTTTACCCTGCAACCCCATCCCTCCCAGGGTGGTGCTGGAACCACAGCCATGAGGATGATTTGAAAAATCCCCACTGCCTTGACCGAGTGAAATTGAAGGAGGGCAGTTAGTTGGCAAGAACCAATTTCCACCTCTGGCAACAGCCTCCTTTGCTTTCTCTTAATGGTCTGTTATCCTCTCTCAAAGTTGACACATTTGCCATCCATGGAGAGTACCAAGTGGTGGCTTGGAATGTCCTATGTACAAAGGTGCCTCTCTCCATCACTCTTGCCAGCGTCCCTCCCGAGAGCATGAAGGCCAAGGTCAATGTCATCCCCTTTTCCCCAGAGAACCTTGCCCAGGGCTTCAGGCTCAGCCCGTTTTCCCCAAGTTCACGTATTCATTTTGTTCCCCCGCTTATCTTCTGAACTCTGAGGTCGGCTCTCCTTCCTATTGCTTTTTGCTGGCTTCGTTGTTTCACACCGGACGGTCACTTAGATTCCTGCCTGGATAGGGAAAGATCTTCTGATGAAAGTCCCCTCCACGCTGGGGGCCCTGGAGCAGGACTGGCCTCTCTGCAGGCAGATATTGTCTGATTTCCGGGAGCTCTAAAGAGCTTGACCTGCATATAATTACAAAATGACCTACCAGACAAGGAAATGTTTGTTTACGCTAAATCTCTGCCGCCACCCACCTCCCCCGGCCTGACTCCCCTATCAGGGAGAAAGGTTGAGTACCACCAATTCTCTCACGTCCATTGTGAGTCTTTCCTCCTGGTTTCCGTCTTGCAGGCTTTTCCCCTCCCCTCCCCTCTGGCCTGCAGGAGAGGCAGGGAGTTAGAAGTAGATGGAGTGTGGGCCGGGTGCAGTGGCTCACGCCTGTAATCCCAAGGCCTTGGGAGGCTGAGGCAGGAGGACTGCCTGAAACCAAGGAGTTTGAGATCAGCCTGGGAAACATGGTAAGACCTCATCTCTACAAAAAAAAAAATTAAAAATTTGCTGGGTGCAGTGGGGTGAGCCTGTAGTCCCAGCTACTTGGGAGGCTGAGGCAGGAGGATCGTGTAATCCAAGGAGGTCAAGGCTGCAGTGAACTAGATGGTGCCACTGCACTCCATCCTGGGCAACAGAATCAACAGAATAAGACCCTGCCTCTAAAAGAAACAAAAAAATAATAGATGGAATGAGTGTTCTTGTGGGATGATTGTGAAGTCTGATCATTTTCGCTTAGTCATACTTGCAGCAAATGTTTATTGAGCATATAATAAGAGCCAAGTGCTGTGTAGACTCGGTGTTGCACAGAGAATAAGTCTGACATGGTCCCTGCCTTCATCCAGCTAGTGGTTTAGGGGCCAAATGTCAAGTTACAACCGTGGTACCTGCCTAGGCAGAAGAGTTCAGGGCAGAGTGAAAGCATCTTACTTAGGGAAGACCTGACCTAGCAGTGCTGGTGGGTTAGGGGGAGGCCAGAAAAGGTCTGAGGGACTTTTGCCCTGTAGGGGGGTGGGCGGGGGCTTTTTCTCATTAAAAAAAATTACATTTTGCAACTTTGTTGGTATAAATCCAGGTTGGATTCATCATAATATAGTCACTGTCTCCCTCTTCTGATTTTAAAAGAAATTAAGCCTTTTTTTCTGGGCCCCTAAAGGTATCATAGACCCTGGACACTATGCAGTTGTGCCTCTGGGAAAAGGTCGCCTCAAGGAAAAGACAACGGAATTAATATCTGAAGAATAAACAAGAGTTAATTCAGTGAATAAGGGGTGGGGTCGGTGGGGTGTGGGCACCATAAACAGCATATACAAAGGCCCTGTGGTGGAGGAAATGAGCAATTGACAAGCTTCAGATGTAGCTCAGGAAGCATGTGTGGATAAGGTGAGGACACAGAGAAAGCCGGGCCATATGCAGCCTTTCCCCAGAGCAGTGGGAAGTCACTGATACATCTCAAGGCAGGAAGTTGAATGACTTTGGAAGGCATCAATAGGAAAAGCTGGCCAGAAAACCAGAAGGCCCCCCAATTCTCCCTATTAAATCTAATCAACAGAATGAGAACCTATCTGGAACAGAACAGGCATTGATGTTACCCAGGTTAAGAAGAAGCTGAGATGTACGGGCCTGCTGGTCTGTGGTTACTGGAGAAGACAAGACAATATTTTCCCCCAAACTTTGTTATGCCTTCTTTCCTAGGTGGCGCCCTTGGGAAATAGATTCTGAGGCAGAGATTTGTGTGCAGGTTTATGGGTGTGTGTTCTTGGAAACAACATCCATAAGGACGTAAGGGCAATATTGGGCGGATACAAGGGAGATCTCAGGTTATCCCAGAGCTCCCTAGAACCAGTGAAGCAGGAGACGGGACTTAACTCCAGGGGTGGGGCTTGGACACTGGACCACATTGAGGACTAGCTAAAACAGGGATGGGGCAGTAGCACCTCTCCATAAGACACGCCCACCTGTGAGCGCTGACAGTTTACCATTGCCATGGCAACACTGGGAGTTACTGCTCCTTTCCGTGGCAAAGACCGAGGACCCAAATGCTACCACCCTTTCCTTGAAATTTCTGCATAAACTGCCCCTTAATCTACATGTAATTAAAAGTAGCTATAAATATTTTCGTTTGTTTTTTTGGAGGCTGCATTGAGCTGAGGTCACGCCATTGCACTCCAGCCTGGGCGACGAAGTGAGACTCTGTCTCAAAAAAAAAAAAAAAAAAAAGAAAGAAAGAAAAAAAAAGAAAATACAGGCATTTGTTGTGCTGTGCGTTGGGTATACAGCAAGCTTGAAACAGGCATGCAGGCACGGCTGTGGGCTCCTGGTCCTCACAGCCTGGCAGGAAAGGCAGGCCCTTGGACACTGAAGTGAGGGGAAGCAAAGTTACTGGAGATGAGAACAAGGGACCCAACTGTCATGTAAGACAGGATGTGGCATGTGTTACAGTAAAAGCAAAAGTTCACTAAAAAAGCTTCTGCACAGCAAAAGTGATAATCAACAGAGTGAACAGACAAGCTGCAGAATGGGAGAACATATTTGCAAACTGTGCATCTGACAAAGGACTGATATCCAGAATCTACAAAGAACTCGAACAACTCAACAACAACAAAGGGCAAATAACCCCATTAAAAGGTGGACAAAGGACATGAACAGACATCTTGTTAAAGGAGACACACAAATTACCAAGAAACATGTGAAAAATGCTCAACATCGCTAATCATCAGAGAAACGCAAACTGAAACCACAGTGAGATACTATCTCACTCTAGTCAGGATGACCATCATTAAACAGGCAAAAAAATCACAGATGTTGGCGAGGATGTGGAGAAAAGGGAACACTTCTACACTGCTGGTGGAAGGTAAATTAGTACAACCTCTATGGAAAACAGTAGGGAGATTTCTCAAAAGAACTAAAAATAGTCCTACTATTCGATCCAGCAACCCCAAAACTGGTGTATATACCCGAAGGAAAAGAAATCATTGTATCAAAAAGATACCTGCACCCATATCGCAGCACTATTCACAATAGCAAAGATAAAGAGGCTAAGTATCCAGAACACATGAATGGATAAATATCTCTCACACACACACACACACACACACACACACACACACACACGAAGACTACTCAGCCATGTAAAAGAATGAAATCATGTCCTTTGCAGCAACGTGAATGGAACTAGAGGCAGTTATCTTTAAGTGAAATAACAGACACAAAGTCAAATACTGCATGTTCTCACTTATAAGTGGGAGCTAAATAATATGAACACATGCACATAGAGAGTGGAATAATAGACATTGGAGACTCAGAAGGGTGGGGAGGGGGAGGGAGAGGGATGAAAAGTTACTTAATGGGTACAATGTACACTATTCGGGTGATGGCTACACTAAACCCCAGACTTCACCAGTATGCAATATATCCATATAACAAAACTGCACCTGTACTCCCGAAATCAATCAATCTATGTATTTTACCGATCATCTATCAGTCTATTTATCTTATCTTTCATCAATCTATCTTATCTATCAATCATCTATCTTATCTATCATCTATCAATCATCTATCCATCGTATCTATCTTCTATCAATCATCTTATCTATCATCTATCAATCTATCAAGTCTTATCAATCTATTATCTATCTATCTATCCACCCATCCAATCTCGCTCTCTTTCTCTTTCTCTCTCTCTCTCCCCCTCTCTAAAGCACAAGCTCGGCTGGGCGCAGTGGCTCATGCCTGTAATCCCAGCACTTTGGGAGGCGAGGCAGGCAGATCATTTGAGGTCAGGAGTTCAATGAGACCAGCCTGGCCAACATGGTGAAAACCCTGTCTCTACTAAAAATACAAAAAAAGTGAGCTGGGCATGGTTGGTGGCATGCATCAGTAATCCCGGCTACTCAGGAGGCTGAGGCAGGAGAATCGCTTGAACCCAGGAGGCAGAGGTTGCAGTGAGCCGAGATCATGCCACTGCACTCCAGCCTGGGTGATAGAGTGAGACCATGTCTTCCCTCACCAAAAAAAAAGCACAAGCTCAGGAAGTTGGGAACACACATGGGGAGACACGTGCTCTGGGATATGAGATTGGGGGTAGAAACCCCCAACGTGCATGCTCTGAGTTGAGCCTGGAGAGACGGCACTATTGAGAGATGAAGGGATGAGGAGGAGCACATGGGCAGAAGGAACCACAGCGGCAAAAGCAGCGACAAGCCACTGCACCCGGGAGGATGGCTATAACCAGGGAAACAAAAGAGGAAAATAACAAGTGTTGACGATGATGTGGAGAAACTGGAATCCTCATGTGTTGCTGGTGCAAATATAAATACAGAGCAGCCATTCTGGAAAAAATACAGTGCAGCCATTGTGCCATTTTGGGCAGTTCCTCAAAAAGTTAAACATAAAATTATCATGTGATATAGCGTATCCACCCCTAGATATATACCCCAAATAACTGAAAACAGGGGTATTTAAAGAGATACTTGAACACAAATGTTCATAGCAGCACTACTTACAGTAGCCAAAAGGTGAAAACAGCCTGAATGTCTATTGATGGAGGAATGGCTGAACAAATTGTGGGCTATTCATACAATGGAATATTATATGGCTATAAAAAGGAACCAAGTACTGACCCATACTACAACATGGATGAACTTTGAAAACATTATACTAAGTGAAGGAAGTCAGGCATAAAAGGTGACCTACTGTATGACAGCATTAGAGGAAATGTCTAGAATAGGCAAATTCATAGAGACAAAAAGTAGATTTGTGGTTGCCAGGGCCTGGGTGCCAGGGGAGAAACTGGAGAAACTGCCTAATAGGTTGAGAAATTTTACTCTGGAGTCATTGAAATGTTTTGGAACTATGTAGAAGTGGGGTTTGTACAACATTGTGAATATACTAAAACCCACTGAATTCTACCCTTTAATATGATTTTTTATTATGTGAATTTCACTTAAATATATATATATATATATATAATTTTTTTTTTTTGAGACAGCGTCTCACTCCATCACCTGGGTTGGAGTGCAGTGGTGCAATCTCAGCTCACTGTGACCTCTGCCTTCCGGGTTCAAGCAATTCTCCTGCCTCAGCCTCCTGAGTAGCTGGGATTACAGGCATGTACCATTACGCTTGGCTAATTTTTGTATTTTTAGTAGAGACAGGGTTTTGCCATGTTGGCCAGGCTGGTCCTGAGCTGCAGCCTGCCTCGGGTCCCGAAGTGCTGGGATTAGAAGCGTGAGCCACTGCGCCTGGCTCCACCTAAATAATTTTTTTTTTTTAAGCACAGGGAAGTGCAGTCTGTAGGGGAAGAACTGACGTTAGAGTAGGGAGCTAGGCAGACATGAGCAGGGCAGGAAAGGGCCCCCACCCCGACCCACAGGAATGTCAAGTGACCATCAGGTGATAGTCAGGTGGTTGTTAAACTCTCTCTCTAAAATACTAATTGGGCCAGGTGTGGTGGCTCACACTTGTAATCCCAGCACTTTGGGAGGTGGAGACATGTGGATCACTTGAGGTCAGGAGTTCGAGACCAGCCTGGCCAACATGGTGAAACCTCATCTCTACTAAAAATACAAAAATCAGTGGGGCATGGTGGTGGGCACCTGTAATCCCAGCTACTCAGGAGGCTGAGGCAGGAGAATCGCTTGAACCTGGGAGGCAGAGGTTGTAGTGAGCCGAGATCATGCACCACTGCACTCCAGCCTGGGTGACAGAGTGAGAAATCTTGCCTCAATAAATAAATAACTAAATAAATAAAATAAAAATTGGTCACAGCTGGTGCCAGAAAGGCAGGCTCCCAATAGATAGAAAACACCTGAGGCTGGTGATAACTGCTTCTGGATAAGATCTCAGCAGTTGGGCGAGTGAGCTCCAGCATGTGCATTAAGAGGCAAAATGGCTGGGGTTTAACTGATCTATGACCTTCTTCTAGCATTGCTCGAATGGTAAGGGAAGAACGCCTCACATGAGCATGCACACAACTTCAGTAAACACACTGTGCATGCGGACCCTCCTGAATGCACAGGTCCCCGCTCATATGGACAGCCCACCCCAAGGAAGAGTTAGGAAGAAGAAATGCAGACCCCGGAACCAAGCCAATGTATAAAACCCCAGGTCAAGGGTTGGACAACACACTTGGGTCTCTCAAGTCACCCACTTGGTCCTCCTCTTCCAAGTGTACTTCCTTTTGTTCCTGCTCTCAAATGTTTTAATAAACTTTTACTCCTGCTCTAAAACTTGCCTTGGACTTTCACTCTGCCTTATGCCCTCAGCTGAATTCTTTCCTCTGAGGAGGTAAGAATCAAGTTGCTGCAGGCCTGTATGGATTTGCCGCTGCTCACACTGATGGTAGATGGATTTCTGAGATTGACTTTGGTATGAGGTGAGTGAGAAGGCATAACCTTGAAAATGAGGGTTGAGGCTATTTGTAGATTTCTTAAGTGCAGTGTTAAAGACTTTCAACTTTATTTGGTAGCCAGGGGGATCCCTTTGCTTTCTCTGTACTCAGTGGCCTAGAGCAAGGATTGACACACTTTTCCTAGGAATGAGCAGATAGTAAATATTTCCAGCTTTTCGGGACACACGATCTCTGTTGGAACTACAGCCAGCCCTCTCTATCCTCAGGTTCCGAATCCAAGGATTCAACCAATTGCAGATAAAAAATATCAAAAACAATAAAAATAATAACTAAAATAATACAAATTAAATAACAATACAGCATAACAACTATTTACACTGCATTTACATCGTATTGGGTATTGTATCTAGAGATGATATAAAGTATACAGGGAAAATTTAAAGTATACAGGGGTATATGCAAGTACTATACCATTTTATATCAAGGACTTGAGCATCTGTGGATTTTAGTAATCTGGGAGGTCCTGGAACCAATCCCCCACGGATACCGAGGGACAACTGTACTCAACCCTGCCACTAAGGCACAAAATGAGCCATAGACAATCTGTAAACAGGTGGGCATGGCCATTGGCCAATACAACCTTATTCATAGACACTTTACTTTTGATTTCATTTTATTATTTAGAGACAAGATTGTCTTGCTCTTGATAAAATAAAAACTTCAGCTGGATTAAATTTAAAGTAGTTTAATTGAGCAATGAACAATTCAGAAATTGGGCAGCCTCCTGTGCCAAGGTACGCTCAGAGACCCCAGCGCAGCCATGTGGTGGATGATTGGTGGACTGAAAAAGGAAAGCGAGGTACAGAAAATGGATGTGAGGTACAGACACAGCCGGACTGGTTACAGCTCGGCGTTTGCCTTATTCGAACACAGTTCAAACAGTTGGCTACATTTATTGGCTAAAACTTGGTGACTGGCACAAGTGTAGGCTACGGTCAGTTTACACCTTCACTTTTTTGTTGAGACGGAGTCTCGCTCTGTCGCCCAGGCTGGAGTGCAATGGCGCAATCTGGGCTCACTGCAACCTCCGCCTCTCGGGTTCAAGTGACTCTCCTGCCTCAGCCTCCTGAGTAGAGTAGCTGGGATTACAGGTTCCTGCCACCACTCCTGGCTAATTTTTGTATTTTTAGTAGAGATGGGGTTTCACCATGTTGGCCAGGCTGGTCTCGAACTCCTGACCTCAAATGATCCGCCCACCTCGGCTGCCCAAAGGTCTGGGATTACAGGCGTGAGCCACCGCACCCGGCCTCCTCCACTTATTATAGTCCATGATGTACAGAGAAACCTTTAGGCTGAACTTAAAATATGTAAGGGGGAAGCTTTAGGCTAAACTTTAACTCTGTCACCCATGCTGGAGTGCAGTGGCGCAATCATAGCTCACTGCAGCCTCAAATTCCTGAGCCCAAGCCATCTTCTCGCCTCAGCCTCCTCAGTACCTGGGACTATAGGCACATGTCACTGCATCTGGCTAATTTTTTAATTTTTTGAGTGACAAGGTCTCACTATTGCCCAGGCTGGTCTCGAATCCCCGGGCTCAAGCGATCCTCCCACCTCAGCTTCCTGGGATTACAGGTGTGGGCCACCAAGCCTGGCCCATGTAATTTTTATGTGTCATCAAGTATTATTCTTTTTTGACTCCCCTCCAACTCCAACCATTTTATTGATTGATTGATTGAGACAGAGTCTCACTGTCTCCCAGGCTGGAGTGCAGTGGCATGGTCTCGGCTCACTGCAGACTCTACCTCCCAGGTTCAGCCGATTCTTGTGCCTCAGCCTCTCGAGTAGCTGGGATTACAGGAACCTGCCACCATGCCCAGCTAATTTTTGTATTTTTAAAAGAGACAGGGTTTTGCCATATTGGCCAGGCTGGCCTCAAACTCCTGACCTCAGGTGATCCTCCTGCCTCGGCCTCCCAAAGTGCTGGGATGACAGGTGTGAGCCACCACGCTGGGTCCCCTCCAACCACTGTAAAATGTAAAAACCATTCTTAGCTTGCAGGCAGTAGACCTGCAGCCAACAGTTTGACAACTCCTGGCCTAGAGGGATACAGGAAATATGGAAGTTGAAATTTGGGGTGTTAAAGTTGTCAGCTGTTCCTGGCTGACTACAGACTCTTGCCTTCTACCTTCAGCTTGTCAGTAAAATGGGAATAATTCTAAAACAAAGCTCTGGAGATGGGGGTTTAGTGGGGTTGGGAGGGGCAAGTTCTGTTGGAACAGTCATGAATCACATTTCAGAATATCAAGTATCATGAATGCATTTCACCATTAGCACCGTCCCTCAGGCTGGAGCATGCACGAGTCTAAAGATGAATGTGTCCAGCCAGGCGTGGTGGTTCACACCTATAATCCCAGCACTTCGGGAGGCCAAGGCGGGTGGATCACTTGAGGCCAGGAGTTCGAGACTGGCCTGGCAAACATAGTGAAATCCCATCTCTACTAAAAATACAAAAATTAGCTGGGCGTGGAGGCACGTGCCTGTAATCCCAACTACTCAGGAGGCTGAAGCAGGAGAATAGCTTGAACCTGAGAGGTGAAGGTTGCAATGAGCCAAGATTGTGCCATTGAACTCTAGCCTGGGTGACAGAGTGAGACTCCGTCTCACAAAAATACAAAACAAAAAACCAGACGTGTCTGATAGGGAACCTGGTGACATCCTGAAAAACTCAGGAGAGGGAAATGGAGTCATGGTTGGTTCAGGATCTTTGGGAGTGTTTTCCCAGTGTGAAACTCACTTGAAAGTAAAATCAAAACCAAACTATTTTCTCTCCTGTCTTTCCTTATGGAGGAATTGGCGATCCCCATTCGGGCCCTTGATCCCCCACCTCTGCGTCTCCCTGTGTCATGCGCATGTATAAGTGGCCCTTGTGGATTGCTGCCTGGCCGAGTGTTCTCATGGCACGTTGTATTCCACAGGCCCGGTTTACCCCGCCACAGCTGCCTGGAAGACCCTTCTAATGCCTGCGCTTGAAAAGACACACTCTAAGCCATCCTTTTCCCTCCAATCCCTACACAAACGCAAATGATAATTACACAGCCAGGAATGCTCAAAGGGAACATTTGGTTTGGGTTTGCAACTCGGAGACCCACAAATTCCAGGAAGAAACTAATAAAATATCAACCTCGAATCTCACCACTGACTCAGACCTCTTTCCTCTGCAAGCCTGTGGGCCCCTGACCTGTGCTCATGGCTCCGACTGTCATCAGCTGCTGTTGAATTTGAGGGGGCACAGAAGGCCATTTTAGAGAGCCACAGCTCCCAAAGCACATTCGGGAGGTCATTCATCTTTCCGGAATCTCTGCAAACAGGCACATCATGCTCCTTGTGCTGGTTTCTTTCCCCCCTCCTGGCATGGTGCGGCTTGGGCCTGGATCCTGCATTTTATAATTTGTTGTTCTGTTTAGCCGTTGCTCCCACCCCACCCTTGTTCTTGTTTTGTTCGATTTCCTTCCTCTCTTAGGCTGGAATTATTCCGGTAATCATGAGAGAATCAAGGTGCGGCGTTTCAATCCGTCACTCCGTAGTTGCCCATCCCCCCCAAAGGCAGTAGATCTTGTGACAGCCGGGACGGAAAGGAGCTGGCTGGTCTTTCCTGTGTCCTTTCTGAGTTCTGTAAGAACCATAGGTCTTACAGACCCATTTTCATTTTTGTCCCTTCAATCCTGGGATGTATTTGCTTCTGACAAAGTCGATTAGCCTTGTTGAGAAGATGTTTCTGAGTGGATCCACTAGACATAACCTCCCCTCCAGGGTCCAAACCATATCTTGTATTTATTTCTCCCATCGCCCCACAGTGCCTGAAATAAGATAGTATTCTAAGGTCATGTACTGACTGAATGGACAAATCCAGTTATTTCACAGGTTACGCTGTTCACCCCAACCCTCATTGTCTGTTCCTTGGGCTTTTATCATAATTTCGTATTTCGCCTTCCCATTCATTCTATGGTCTTCTCAGATGTTTCTGTCCATAACTTCCACATTCTGGCTTGTCAGTTTGATGGGGCTTCTGACATTTGCAGCAGGGAGGCCTGATAGGCTGATTTTTCTGGACTGTGTGAGGTTGAGGTGGCATCGCATTTCTTCATGTTCATATTCTTCAGTGTCATTCACAAGATCTGGCTCTGAGTAGGAACTCAATGTGTGTTGGGTGAATGAGTGAGTGAATGAAAAAGGAGAAACTTTTTTTTTTTTTTTTGGAGACAGTATCTCCCGCCGTCACCTAGGCTGGAGTGCAGGGGCATGATCTTGGCTCACTGCAACCTCCACCTCCCAGGTTCAAGCGATTCTCCTGCCTCAGCCTCCTGAGTAGCTGGGACTACAGGTGTGCACCACCATACCCAGCTAGTTTTTGGATTTTTAGTAGAGATGGGGTTTTATCATCTTGGTCAGGCTGGTCTCAAACTCCTGACCTCAAGTGATCAGCCTGCCTTGGCCTCCCAAAGTGCTGGGATTAGAGGCATGAGCCACCACACCCAGTCAAAAGTTCTTTAACCCTACCTGCCTCTAGCTTTCTAATCCCAGCCAAGATGAATTCTTACTTCAAGCAAAATTGTCGTGGTTCAGCATTTACCTACATTTACTGCCAAATCCTCCCCAAAAGAGAGATCCAGAAGGGTCCCAAAGTCAAATGAGTTTGAAAAATGCTGTATATTCTGGCCAGGCGCAGAAAAAAAAAAAAAAAAGAAAAGAGAAAAAAAAAGCTGTATAGTCTTTCCATATTCAGAGAGTCACTGCACACTCTGGCATTTAAAGTCTCTGAGACATTCCATATTTAGAGACTTACTTCATTTTCTTTAATCCTGAATTTCCAAAACTCATTTGACCATGGAATATTTGCTTCTCAGAACATCTTCCAGAACTAATTTTCCAAGATTTGAAAGCTTAATATATATGCCTTGTATCCTTATTTGTAACATATAACATATAATAACAATGCATGAAGCCTCGGTAGAATTCTTAGCTGGCGGCATTGAATGTATATTTAGGTCATCTCTAAGAATGAATGCTCGATCCATAAAAACATGCATTAGTAATGCAGACATGCACAGAAGTGGACATATTAAAATGACACAGATGTACGCATCAGTGCATTCTCACAGATCCCTGCAATGCAACAGCCACCAGTAGACCTGTCTATGTGCTCATTCATTCATTCAACAAACACCATTCTGGGCACTGGGGATATAGCAGTGAGCAAAGCAGACATAGTACCTGTGAGCAGAAGGGGGCTTACCTTTTCCATGTGGATACAAACAAATAAACTTGATAGAGACCGGGTGCGGTGGCTCACGCCTGTAATCCCAGCACTTTGGGAGGCTGAGGCGGGTGGATCACTTGAGGTCAGGAGTTCGAGACCAGCCTGGCCAACATGGTGAAAACCTGTCTCTACTAAAAATACAAAAGAAATTGGCTGGGCACGATGACGTACGCACTTGTAGTCCCAGCTACTCGGGAGGCTGAGGTGGAAGAATCGCTTGAACTTGGGAGGTAAAGGTTGCAGTGAGCAGAGATTGCGCCACTGCACTCCAGGCTTGGCGACAGAGCAACATTCCGTCTCAATAAATGAGTAAATAAACCGATAGAATTTGGAATTCCAACATATACTAGGAGAAGTGGGTCAACTCTGTGTCCTCATTCTTAAAGGACACTGTTAGGATCTATAATGGTCCTTCCATGCTTACAAATAGATTGCTCTATGAAATAAAATTGTTTCTGTGGAGGCAGGGGCTTGCCACAGATATGATTTTATAGAAACAATGAATTATGGACCTAATCTGTATACATTTTAAAAATTTAAATATACAGCACTCCCATTTTCTAATAAATGTACCTATTCTTTTCTTGGGTGTTGAAATTTCATTTCTAACTGATCTTTAATTCATAGTGAGATAGAACAGTTCAGCTTTAAAGCCCCCTCCTCCACTGTAGGTAGTTACTGACTTTTAAATAAAAGCTGAAATGCGCAAGGGTAGCAGAGCAGGGAGAGGTGGGGAGGGGATCTGTCAGCAACACTGGGTGCTAGGGACCTCTTTCAACAAACTCTTCTCCCCAAACCTGTTTTGTCTGAGAGTGGGAAACATGGGGACTGGCCGGGTGCATGTTGAAAAACCTCCCAGGTGATTCAATTAACATCTCCTTTTCTGGTTAAGAACTTAGAACCCACAGAGAGAAAAAATCATTGAATCGCTCAGGATGATCTCTGTGCAATGCAGACAGAGACATACATTGCCCGCAGGTGTCCACTTTGCAAACAGGACTTTGTTCCTATTGGATTTTCTTAAAGCAGGGCACCTGGGAGAGAGCCAGGGACTCGCAGACACAGCTGCCTAGGTACCAAAGAGGCAGTGCCTGCTGTCTCGTGCCTGGACAGGCCGGGGAGCTTCCTGACCTCTGCCCGCAGCCTGCACGCCCGTCTGAATAGCCTTGGCGGAAGAGGGGGAGGAGGAAGGACGGACAGCTCGTCTGCGTGGAAGGCAGCAAGCGCAGATGTTTTCAGCAGCAGATGGCAGACTCCAGCAGAGCCCTCCACAGCCCTCTTGGCCCCCGCAAGGCAAGGAGAAAGGAGAGGGCGGGGGAGGCTGGCCCAGCTCCTCTGAGCTGGGCCTCCAGCAGCACGCTGTGCGTGTGCCCGCATCGCATTCACATCTGCTCTCCCCCTCCCAAGTATTGATCCCGGGCCCAGAGTCTAGAGGCATCTCGGAGGGCTCAGGCTGGCTGTGGGCTTCCCAGCGCTCCTGAACGATTGCTGCCTGGGGGCTGTGCTGCTGCATTTCTGAACAGCCACGGAGCGGGATACTCTTGAGTTCCACGTGGGCCACTAAGTAGGGGAGGGAGCAACTGTTCACAGGTCTCTGGGCCCTTAAGAACCCCAAACTGAGGCCCCTTCAGACCTGGGAGAGGAAAAAAGAGGCCCAGAAACGTGGCCTGGGCACAGCAGAGGCCCTATCCTTACTCTCAACGAAGGGTGCCATTTCCAGGCAGGTGAAACAATGGCGGGTCGGGGGTGAGTGAAAGGATGGAGAAAAACCGAGGTGGCAGAGAGAAGAGGGAGAGGTAGAGGGGATGGCAGGCAACACCCACCTGGCTCCTGTGCTCACAGCGCAGCACCCCTTACCCGTCAGCCTCTTAGCGAGCTCTGCTGCACCTCAGAATCCTCCTTAACCCAGCTCTTCAGGAAGCCACCGCTGGTGAGTTGGGGTCTGCGCTGAAGAGGGAGAGCTGGTGATATGTTGGTCCTAGCTCTGACTCAGTGGCCTCTGTACCCCGGATAGTCCCTTTCTCCTCTCGGGGCCTTAGTTGTCCCAGCTGGAAAAAATAAACACCACCATCTCCTGGGTATTAATTAGGTCTCTCTTCCTCTTGGGCTGAACTTTGAAAAAGCCAGGAGAAGCCGCAGTGTGTCCTGTTGTGTCCGGAATTGGTGGGCTCTTGGTCTCACTGACTTCAAGAATGAAGCTACGGACCCTCGCGGTGAGTGTTACAGTTCCTGAAGGCGGCCTGTCCGGAGTTTGTTCCTTCTGATGTTCAGATATGTTACAGCCTTCCGGTGGGTTCGTGATCTCGCTGGCTCAGGAGTGAAGCTGCAGACCTTCGCGGTGTTACCGCTCTTAATGCGGCGAGTCTGGAGTTGTTCGTTCCTCCAGGTGGGTTCGTAGTCTTCTCGCCTGACTTCAGGAGTGAAGCTGCAGACCTTCACGGTGTTACAGCTCACAAACGCAGCGTGGACCCAAAAAGCGAAAGAACAAATCTCCCACAGAGCGGAAAAACACCCCAGCCAATTGCTACTGCCAGCTCCGGCAGCCTGCTTTTATTCTCTTGTCTGGCCCTACCCACATCCTGCTGACTGGTCCACTTTACAGAGAGCCAATTGGTCTGTTTTACAGAGAGCTGATTGGTCCGTTTTGACAGGGTGCTGATTGGTGCGTTTACAATCCCTGAGCTAGACGCAAAAGTTCACGTCCCCACTAGATTAGCTAGATACAGAGTGTGGACACAAAGGTTCTCCAAGTCCCCACCAGAGTAACTAGATACAGAGTGTCGATTGGTGCATTCACAAACCCTGAGCTAGACACAGAGTGCTGACTGTTGTGTTTACAAACCTTGAGCTGGATACAGAGTGCCGATTGGTGTATTTACAATCCCTTAGCTAGACATAAAGGTTCTCCAAGTCCCCACCAGACTCAGGAGCCCAGTTGGCTTCACCCAGTGGATCCCGTACTGGGCCGCAGGTGGAGCTGCTTGCCAGTCCTGCGCCGTGTGCCCACACTCCTCAGCCCTTGGGTGGTCGATGGGACTGGGCCCCGTGGAGCAGGGGGCAGCGCTCGTCGGGGAGGCTCGGGCTGCGCAGGAGCCCACGGCCGGGAGGGGAGGCTCAGGCATGGCGGGCTGCAGGTCCCGAGCCCTGCCCCGCGGGGAGGCAGCTAAGGCATGGCGAGTAGTCGAACACAGCAGCTGCTGGCCCAGGTGCTAAGCCCCTCACTGCCCGGGGCTTGCAGGCTGGCCGGCGGCTCCGAGTGCGGGGACTGCCGAGCCCGCGCCCACCCGGAACTCGCGCTGGCCCGCAAGCACCGCGCGCAGCCCAGGTTCCCACCTGCGTCTCTCCCTCCACACCTCCCTGCAAGCTGAGGGAGCCGGCTCCGGCCTTGGCCAGCCCAGAAAGGGGCTCCTACAGTGCAGCGGCGGGCTGAAGGGCTCCTCAAGTGCGGCCAAAGTGGGCGCCAAGGCCGAGGAGGCGCCGAGAGCGAGCAAGGGCTGCAGGGCTGCCAGTACGCTGTCACCTCTCACTGTAAGAGGCAGAAACAGAACCAGGAATTCACTGCTTCCCGGTTATTTCCCAGCCTTAGTGCTGGGAGACTGGGAAACGTGGGAAACTGTCAACACTGAACTGAAAGTGAAGGTGGGGGGTGGGGGTGCCCAGAGTCCTAAGTGATTGGGGAAATGATAGCGGCAATGATAAAAACAAACCCCTGCAGAACGCTTGTGCCGGCCAGCCTGCTCTGAGCACTTAGCACGCTCTAGTTCATGCAGCGATCCTCACGACCACCCTGGAACATAACTTCTGCCATCATTCCTGGTCCAGACACCGCGAAGCTGACTTTCAGCCAGGTTCAGTTGTCCACACAGTTGCTCCTCCTCTGGCTACTCCAGGGCCAGGATTAGACCCCAGGCAACCCGCATTCAAATTCCATACTCCTAACTACTATACTATGCTACAAAAGAAGACAACAAAAAACACTTTTCACCCACCAGACCGACAACAAATGATAGGTTTGATGTTATCAAGCTCTGGTGAGGCTGTGGTGTGGCATTGGCATCTGATTACCTCTGAGAAGGACCAGAGGGCTAGGATTGGAGTAGAGATCAGAGGCACTTTCATCTTATCTGTGTTCGTTTTGTGATTCAGAAAATAGTCATGCATGACTTGGCTTAATAACTCATTGAGAGAGAGAAGCGGTCAGAAAAAGAGAACCAGGCTGGGTGCCATGGCTCACACCTGTAATCCAAAGGAGGTCAAAGCAGGAGGATTGTTTGAGGCCAGGAGTTTGAGATCAGCCAGGACAACAGAGCAAGACCTCATTTCTACAAAAAATAAAAAAATTTAGCCAGGCATGGCGATGCATGCCTGTAGTCCCCTTTACTCAGGAGGCTGAGGACGGAGGATCACTGGAGCCCAGGAGTTTGAGGCTGCAGTGAGCTGTGAGCATGCCACTGCGCTCAAGCCTGGGTGATACAGGGAGACCCTGTCCCTAAAAAAAAAAAAAAAAAAAAGTAAATTACAATGTTAAAAAAGAAAAGAAAAAAGAGAAATAGAGTTCTCAGAATCTAGAACTCTGATAATTCCCTTTGGACATGACCTCTGGGTTGCAGAAACTCTGAGCGCTACATCTTGGGGGAAGTTCATTCTTTTCTTTCTTTTTTTTTTTTTTTTTTTTTTTTGAGATGGAGTCTTGCTCTGCCACCCAGGCTGGAGTGAAATGGTGCAATCTCGGCTTACTGCAACCTCTGCCTCCCGGGTTCAAGCAATTCTCTGCCTCAGCCTCCCAAATAGCTGGGATTACAAGCGCCCGCCACCAGGCCCGGCTAATTTTGTATTTTTAGTAGAGACGAGGTCTCACCATCTTGGCCAGGCTGGTCTTGAACTCCTGACCTTGTGATCCACCTGCCTTGGCCTCCCAAAGTGCTGGGTTTACAGGCGTGAGCCACCGCGCCTGGCTTCATTCTTTTTTTCAGCTCACACGTGTTTCCTGAGGACCCCTCCGTTCCAGGTTCTGTGCTGGGCTCTTTGTTCTCTCCAATTGAAAGGGTGTCTCCACTTTTGTCCCTAGTCTGGGTGCCTCTATGGCAATAAGGTCACGGCAACAGGGAGGAGCCGGTTCACCCCCGGCTCCGATTTGCAATGGGCTGTTCCCCCAGGGCAGCTGCTGCAACAACATTTACTTTGTACAGCGGCCAAGAGAGAGAGTGAGAGAGAAAGAGAGAGAGAGTGTGTGTGAGCCTACCCCATTCCAAAATGTTTCTGACAAAATCTGGCACTCCTGGTTCTAATCAAAATACTGAACTTTGGAACAAATTAACATTCCACAGCCCTCGCAGGGAAGGAGAATTCAGCTGAGACGACTTCAGTTCACAACCACAACAAAAATAGCTTCTCCCGGGGAAGACACATTCTGCTAACAAGGTCACTTTTGTTTTGCTTCCCCTGCCATCTGGTTGAGCGGCACCAGGGGCTGGCTTTGGTACCAGCTTATTCCGCGGAGAGGGGATGGGAGCCGGGTGGCGCTGCAGAAGGCTTCTCAGCTTCCTGGCAAGGGGCGCCAGCACAAAGTTACCTTCAGACATCCCCAGAAAGCACGCAGGCAGATGGAGCCCCGGTTTCACCCAGCCCGACTCTCATGCGCTCCTCGCCTGCAGAAGGTGAGACACCAGCAGAAAGCAACAAGCAGGTGGGCGTCAGAGGAGAGCAAGAACGCGACAGAATGGGAAAGCTATCTTCGTCTTGCAAAACATTCCAGAACTCCACCTAACTCACTCAGAGTCTGAGTTCCAGAAGGACAACAAAGAAGCATGATTTTGTTTCTTGTTTTTATTTTTCTTCTTTTAATTCCCCTCCTTTCTACCTTCAAGGTTCAGCTTCTTTCAGTCATTGATCCTGTGACCTCAGGGACACTCAATCACCTACCTTGGCCTCAGTGTTCGCATGTGTAGAATGGGAATCACTTGCGCAGACCTTATGCAGTGATGGGGAAGGTGAAAAGAGCAAATGTGATTGTCTAGGGGCCCCTGGCTGAGGTTCTTGAGAGAGAACATACTGGAATTCCATGCTTTGTAGCCTACAAGGGCTTTCATGCAGACAATTTAGTAAGATCCCATGACAGCCATCTACAGAGCTTTCACATGACTTAAATGGTCTGCCCCCGGTTACTTCAATCGACAGGTGTAGAGCTGGGATTTAAACACAGACATTTTCGTTAAAAAGACAGTGTTGCTTTTACTATGCGGTGATTTTCAATCTTTTAAAATAGGATAGGAAGCCATGAATATACACACAAAAGATCAGATACAGTTTTAAGGGGTTCACAACCTCCTAAAGCTATGCCCCTCCTAGGAGGAGTCCAGGGGTCTCAGAGGTCTCAGAATATTTGCTGGGGGCTGGAGAGGGGTGAAGACAAAACTTTTAGTAAAATAAAGGAGGAATCCTTAAAATGACCAAACATCTCTGTACTCTTAAGTCAAAGAGAATAAGCTCATCAGAACGTCTCTTTAAGGATTTTAGTAGTCCTTAAAAAGACAAATGAGGAAACTGATTTTAAGGTGAGTTGAACCTGGTTTATGAGGAGTCGGAGGAGGGGGTAAGGGAGGAGTCAGGCCTCTGCAGTTGGGGTGAGCAGTGGAATCCCAGGGCTGCGCAGTGGCAGGTGGTCTCTGAATCAGAGCCGAGAGATGACCTCTGGCCTAGGATTTCAAAGGTCTGGAAGAGCCCTGGGGCCATTTGCAAGTGTTCATTAGTGTTCACCCTCAGCTGGGAACATCACAGGGTGGTCACTGTTCAGCTCCGTTCACCGTTCACTTTTCTTAGTCTTCCTTTTGCTACCTGCCGTGGAGACCTCCCGCATCTCAGACTGACTTTATTTACTTGAAGGTCATCCAGAAATTGCCTGCTTTTTCATGTTCATGTGACAAATATTTATTAAGCCTTAATTATATTCCAGGCAATATGCTCAGCTCTTTGTATACAGCAGAGAAGAAACGAGCTCTTGCCCTCAGACAGATTTCAGTCTAGTAGGGAGCTAAACACTTGACATGAATCACTCCAAGAATGGGGTGGGGGTACATTTGGGGCAAAGGTTGACGTTCTAGGAAGAAAAATACAGGCCACTGGAAACTTTTGATATAGGAAAGAATGCTGGTAGCTCCAGAATGTTCTATATCAGTAATACAGAAAATGGATTATTTGACTTGAAGTTAAGTTTAAAACAGCACTTTATGTGACTTTGAGGAAATGAGAATTGTCTACATCAAAGAATGGGTGTGAGGGATGTCGGAGATCGGGGCTGATGGCTAAAGCCTGTACCCGGCCCTTTCTGGGCTCTGCAACAGGAGATCGTGCACCAGGGGAGAGCAAGCAGGACCAGATGAGAGAAGAGGCATTAGAGGTCAAATCTGGAGGACAGAATTTCCAAAAGAAGTTTCATGGGTGGCCTGCATCAGGATTCCCGCAGGGGGTTGTTGCAATTGCAGATGCTTGGGTCCATCTCAGCCTTGCTGAATCAGCATCTTGGCGCAGGAGCTTGGAATCTGCCTGATGAGCAAGCATCCTAAGGGATTATTTTATGCAGGGGGCTTCGGAGTCTGGATTTTATCCTAAATGCACATCAAGGCCAGTGAGGAGTTTGGAAGAGAGGAATGGATACAGTCCATTTTTCCAGATGTTTTGCATCTTGCGTAGGAACTGAGAGGCGTGGGATAATGGGGGAGGTGGACAGACCACTTAGATGGCCAGGGCAGAATCTCCATGGCCTTGGCCAGGTGCAGTGGTTCATGCCTATAATCCCAGCATTTGGGGAGGCTGAGGAGAGCGGATTACTTGAGGTCACGAGTTCAAGACCAGCCTGGCGAAATCCCGTCTGTACTAAAAATAAAAATATTAGCTGGGCCTGGTGGCACATGTCTGTGATCCCAGCTACTGGGGAGGCTGAGGCATGAGAATCACTTGAACCTGAGAGGCAGAGGTTGTGGTGAGCTGAGATCATGCCACTGTACTCCAGCCTGGGTGACAGAGGGAGACTCTGTCTCAAAAAAAAAAAAAAAAATCTCCACAGTCTCCCCCATCCCTTTGCTTCACTGGGTCAACTTGCCCCTTATTTCAGTCACCAGTTCCAGGGTAGCAGGGTCATCTGCACCTTCATGCAGTTGCTTCCTGGGCCCCAGAGAGACAAGGGCATTGACACTGACTGCAGATGTCCCACATCTCTGGCTTTAGATTAGCCATTGCTCCTTTGACACCTCAGGCAGTTGCTGACTGTCAACCTGGCAGTTGGTTTCCCAAGGAGTCCTCCTCCCCTATCATCTCCACCTGCCTCATGCAGATGGAGATGGTTCTGATCACATGAGAGGAGGGATGAAGCTCTCTGTGGCTCTCAAGTTTCCTTCTGGCCCTATGAGCTCAGCTTAGGTGGCTGGGAATCCATCAGGTTCCCTGCCCTGGGTCCAGGCAAACCCACTAGAGCTTCTCCGCATTTGAAGATAGGCAAGGAGGAGCCCTGTGTCTCAACCCTTCCCAATCAAAGACTGTGCTAACTGGCTGTTGGTTCAGGCTGGCGCTTACCAAAACCAGCCTCTCTCTTTCAGGCCAATGACAAATGTTTCAGTCTCTCTGCGTTTTGAAAGAGAGGCCGACAGAGAGAGAACGTCTCGAATCACAATCAGGGTTTCCTGCCGCAGAGCACACAAGATGAGAATTGATCTCAAACCTTTTAGTGCCATCATTTACTGAGTGCTGGGATGACATACACATAAGTCAGCAAAGGAAAACTTGGAATCCTGTTCCCTAGCTGCATGTCAACAGAACACCTGGATAACATGACCTGCTCAAAAGGAGAGAGACTCAAGCCGCCACCCAGCCAAACCTCCAATAATATAAAAAACTTTGCCCCTGCCTTCATTATTCTTCTAGTCAGCTTTGAGATATAATTTACGTGGGATAAGCTGCATCCATTTTAAGTGTTTGATTTGATGTTTTGACAAGTGTATACATTCAAGGAACCATCACTGCAATTAAGATATAGAATATTTATTTATTTATTTATTTTATTTCTTTTTTCTTGTTTTTTGAGGTGGAGTCTTGCTCTGTTGCCCAGGCTGGAGTGCAGTGGCATGATCTTGGCTCACTGCAGCCTCCGCCTCCCAGATTCAAGCAATTCTCCTGCTTCAGCCTCCTGAGTAGCTGGGATTACAGGCATTCACCACCACACCCGGCTAATTTTTGTATTTTTAGTAGAGACGGGGTTTCACCATGTTGGCCAGGCTGGTCTCAAACTCCTGACCTCAAGTGATCCACCTTCCTCGGCCTCCCAAAGTGCTGGGATTACAGGCATGAACCACTGTGCCCGGCCAGGTATAGAATACTTCTATTACCCCCCAGAATTCCTTCAAGTTCCTTTAAAGTCAATCTCCCTTTCACTCCCGACCTCAGGCAACCGCTGATCTGCTCTCTGTCACTCTAGTTTTGTATTTTCTAAAATGTCATAGAGTGGAGTCATACAGTATATATTCCTGTGTCTGCCTTCTTTCACTGGTTTTTAAGGTTCATCTGTGTTGTTTCGTGTGTCAGTAGTTTGTTCGCTTTTACTGTTGAGTAGTATTCTACAATTTGTTTATCCATTCACTTACTGATGGACATTTGGGTTGTTTCCAGGTTTTGAATATCATGACTAAAGCTGTTATAAACATTTGTGTATAAGTCTTTATGTGAACATATGTTTTCATTTTTCTTGGGTAAATATCTAAGTGTAACTGGATTGTATGGTAGGTGTATATTTCCTTCGTAAGAAACTGTCAGGCTGGGCACAGTGGCTCATGCCTGTAATCTCAGCACTTTGGGAGGCCGAGGTGGGAGGATTGCTTGAGCCTAGGAGTTTAAGTCTAGCCTGGGCAACATAGTGAGATCCTGTCTCTATAAAAAAATACAAAAATTAGCCCAGAGTGGTGGCATGTGCCTGTAGTACTAGCTACTTGGGAGGCTGAGGCAGGAGGATTGCTTGATCCCAGGAGGTTGAGTCTGCAGTGAGCTATGATCATGCCACTGCACTCCAGTCTAGGCAACAGAGTGAGACCCAGTCTCAAAAAAAAAAAAAAAAAAAAAAGAAAGAAAGAAAAGAAAAGAAAAAACGAAACTGCCAGATCTTTTGCCAAAGTGGTTGTATCATTTTTACATTTCCACTAACAATGTAGGAGAGTTCCAGTTGCTTTACATCCTAGGCAATACATGTTAGTCTTTTTAATTTTAGCCATTCTAATGGGTGTGTGGTGGTATCTCATTGTGGTTATTATTTACATTTCCTTGGTGACAATTGTTGAACACTTTTAAATGTGCTTATTGGCCATCCATATGTCTTATTTGTCTTTTCCAAGCTTTTATCCATTAAAAAAAATATATGGTGTGGTTTAGCTGTGTCCCCACCCAAGTAGCATCTTGAATTCCCATGTGTCGTATAGACATGGTTTCACCATGTTGGCCAGGCTGGTCTCAGACTCCTGACCTCAAGTGATCTTGCTGACCTCAAATGATCCTCCCACTTTGCCTCCCAAACTTCTGGGATTACAGGCGTGAGCCACCGTACCTGGCCCAAACCTTGGCATTCTTGTTGTGCAGCTGCAGCTCTGCCATTCTTGACTCCCTCTGTACATGGCGTCCTTCCTGCATGGCTCTGTGCTCTCTTTTTATGAAGACACCAGCCATATTGGATTAAGGGCCCACCTACTCCAGTATCACCTCATCTTTGCTAATTGTATCTGCATGAAACTATTTCCAAATAAGATCATCATCTCAGGTACTGGGGATAAGGATTTTAAACATATCTTTTGGGGGGATACACTTCAACCCATAACAACGCCTTAGTTCTTCCTTTGTCTGAAATTTTCTTCCCTATTTTGTTCTCTTGAAGAATTACTAGAAGGTTCAGTTCAAAGTTCACCTTCTTATTTTTCCTGAATACCACAGGAGAAATGGATCACCTCCTTGTCTATTTCTTTTGGTTGTTGTTGTTGTTGTTTGAGACAGGGTCTCTGTCACCCAGGCTGGAGTGCAGAAGTGTGATCTCGGCTCACTGCAACCTTTGCCTCACAGGCTTAAGTGATCCTCCCACCTCAGCCTCCCGAGTAGCTAGGATAGCTAGGACTACAGGTGTGCACCACTATGCCTGGTTAATTTTGTTCTTTTTGTAGAGACGAGGTCTGACTATATTGCCCAGGCTTGTCTTGAACTCCTGGGCTCAAGTGATCCTCCCAACTTGGCCTCCCAAACTGCTGAGATTACAGGCATGAGCCACTGTGCCCAACCGTCTTTCTCTATCTTTATAGCATTTTGGCATTTCTATTAGAGAATTTATCACATTATGTGCAACCTGAGGACCGAAACCACCTTATCCACCCAGGAATAGAGCTCAGAGTCCCAGAATTCCAGTTAGACCTCCTGTACAGAGCTGCCATCCCCTCTGTGGACATTTCAGGCACATACTCTAAAAATTCCTAGTTTGTAGATTTGTAGATTAATGAAAAAGATGAGGAAGCTTTGGGGACTCCATGTTATTTAATTTTCTATTTTAGGAATTGTATCAATAGGAACTACTATGAATAAACATTTGGAGTCCTATCTAAATGACTTTAAATGTAAAATTCTCTTTTTTGATTGAAAACAGTATGTTCAAAATACAAAGTAGAACTAGTCTTTTAATGTAAACACAGTATAACTGGGTTTCTCAACCATGGCACTATTAATATTCTGGGTCGGATTATTCTTTGCTGCAGGGGTCTGCCATGTGCGCTGTAGGATACTGAGCAGCATTGCACCCTCTGTCTCATAGATGCCAACAGCACCCTCCTTCCCAATTGTGATAATGAAAATGTCCCCAGACATTGCCAAGTGTCCCCTGGGGCAGCAAAATCACCCCAATTGAGAACCACTGTGGACTATCCTAAGGGAGTTGTGACTCTTAACATAAAAGTTGTAAACTTCGTCCAAATTTTTCTTGATTTTGTTTTCTTTCTTTTCTTTCTTTTTCTTTCTTCCTTTCTTTCTTTCTTCTTTCTGCCTTTCTTTCTTTGTTTCTTTCTCTCCTCTCTCTCTTCTCTTTCTCTCTTTTCTCTTTCTTTCTTTCTTTCTGTCTCTCTCTCCTTCCTTCCTTCCTCCCTCCCTTCCTTCCTTCCTTCCTTCCTTCCCTTCTCTCTTTCTCTCTTTCTTTTTTTCTTTCTTTCTTCTTTCTCTTTCTTTATGTTTTTTTTTGAGACAGAGTCTCACTCTGTCACCCAGGCTGGAGTGCAGTGTCACAATCTTGGCTCACTGTAACCTCCACCTCCTGGTTTCGAGTGATTCTCCTGCCTCAGCCACCCAAGTAGCTGGGATTACAGAGGCATGCCACCACGTCCGTTTAATTTTTTTTTATTTTTAGTAGAGATGGGGTTTCACCATGTTGACCAGGATGGTCTCAAACTCCTGACCTCAAGTGATCCGCCCTCCTTGGCCTCCCAAAGTGTTGGGATTACAGGCTCGTTTTCTTTTTAATACTTCCCTCGTCTCATAAGGCTGCTCTGCACTGAGACCATTGGCACTGTGAATAGATTGCGCGACCTGGCTTTTCCCTGCTCTTGCCTCGGCACATCTGGGATCCATGGGTGGCCTCATTGATGCAAAGGGAAAAAATTCATGCCCCTGCTTATGATGAAGACTCAAGCACTTGGGGAGTGCAAAGAACCAAAACACTGCTCCTTCCTGCACAGCCATGTTAACCTCACCCTCAATGTCCGCTATAGCTTCTAAAGCCCTTGCTCAATTCCCCCATGCCCCTCCCCACAACTCCTTGAGCTAGAAGAAATAACATTGTGGTTTTAGAAGAAAGGCCAAAAACCAGGTGTATTTGTCTGTTCTCATGCTGCTAATAAGGACATACCCGAGACTGGGTAATTTATAAAGAAAGAGGTTTAAAGGACTCACAGTTCCACATGGCTGGGAAGGCCTCACAATCATGGTGGAAGAGCAAGGAATGTCTTACATGGCAGTGGGCAAGAAGAATTTGTGCAGGGGAACTGCCCTTTATAAAACCATCAGATCTCATGAGACTTATTCACTGTCACAAGAACAGCACCGGAAAGACCTGCCCCTATGATTCAATTACCTCCCACTGGGTCCCTCCCACGACATGTGGGAATTGTCGGAGCTACAATTCAAGATGAGATTTGGGTGGGGACACAGCCAAACCATATCACCAGGGGTGGCAGTCATCTGGAGGAAATTTAAAAACATTATGTGGAAGGAAGTACTGGGGAAAGGATTCAGGCAATTACCCCCAAGCTCTCCCGAACAAGATGTACTTCCTCCTGGGACTTCCAAACCATGGAAGCAGCCAGTTAGAGGGGAAGCTACCGGCATTCACAGGCAGCTCAAATGATGACTTTTTGTATTTTTATTTTTGAGATGAGGTCTCACTCTGTCACCCACGCTGGTGCAATCTTGGCTGACTGCAACCTCTACCTCTCGTGCTAAAGCAATCCTCCCACCTCAGCTGCCGGAAGAGCTGGGACCACAGGTGCACGCCAGTATGCCCAGATAATGTTTTTATTTTTTATCGTAGAGACCAGGTCTTGCTATATTGCCCAGGCTGGTCTTGAACTCCTAGGCTCACGTGATCCTCCTGAAGTGCTGGGATTATAGGCATGAGCCACTGTGTCCAGCCTAGACTGACATTTTTAAGTGTGAGTTCTGTTTTGTGGCTGGAACAAGAGGAAGGCAGAGATTACTGTTTGGAAATGGCCTGGACTCTGTCCACTTTCCATAGCTCTCATCTTTGGTTTCACTTTGAAAGCTATGGTGTTGTCAGCTGGAGTTTGAAGCTCCCCCAACCCTTTTGACAGCTAAGGAATTGGGAGAATGTTGCATCTGAATGAAAAACCTGCCTTGGGTTCTGAGGTCTGCTCTGTGATGTAGATCCCTCAAATTATGCGATAGATATTTACTAAACCAAGAAACTGTTCCTCTCATACTGTTTAAAAAATGGAGGCAAGATTCATATAACAAAAAACTAACCATCTTAACATATACAATTCAGTGATATTTAGTACATTTGCAATGTTGTACAACCATCACCTTATCTAGTTCCAGAACACTTTCATTTTCATACTCCAAAAATACTCTACCTATTAAGCAGTCATCCTCATTCCCCCACCCCCACCCCCTGGCAGCCCCCGGTCTGGGTTCTGTCTCTATTGATTTGCCTGTTCTGGGCATTTTGTATAAATTGAGTTATACAATACATGATCTTTGTGCCCGACTTCTTACACTTAGCATGTTTTGAGGCTCATCCATATTGTGGCATGCATCAGAACTTCATTCTTTTTTAAGGCTGAATAATATTCTGTTGTATGGATAGACCACATTCTGTTTATCCATTTGTATCAGTTTGTTCTTCCATTGCTATAAAGAACTACCTGAAACTGGGTAATTTATAAAGAAAAGAGGCTTAACTGGCTTACGGTTCTTCAGGAGGTAGAGGTAACATGGCTGAGGAGGACTCAGGAAACTTACAGTCATGGTGGAAGGTGAAGGGGAAGCAGGCACGTCTTACGTGGCCAGAGAAGGAGGAAGACAGAGAAGAGGGAAGTGTTACACACTTTTGAACAACCAGTGAGAACTCACTTGTTATCATGAGAACAGCAAGAGGGAAATCCGCCCCCGTAATCCAATCACCTCCCCCCAGGTCCCTCTTCCAACATTGGGGATTACAATTCAACATAAGATTTGGGCTGGGACACAAATCCAAACCATATCACCATTCATCTGTTGATAGGTGTTTGGGTTGTTTGCACCTTTTGGCTATTGTGAATAATGCTGCTATGAACACTTCTATATCTCATAAGCTTATTTATTTTAGAGATGGGGTCTTGCCTTGTCCTCAGGGTGGAGTGCAATGGCGTGATCATAGCTCACTGCAACCTCGAACTCCTGCCCTCAAGCCATCCTCCCACCTCCACCTTCCAAAGTGCTGGGATTACAGGCCTGAGCCACTGCACCTGGCCCTCTCATAAGCTTTTGAAGAGCTTCTGTAGCCCTCAGCATAATGTTCTAACTTCTCAGCCTCGCTCCAATGGTAAGACCCTTTCCCCTCCCCACACTAAACCTCCTTAGGGCCTGACCTCACAGAACTACCTGTAGTTTCTGGAATTTGATTAAATATGTTTACAGTTTCTGAGTCTTTGCATAGGTGTGTCCTTGGCTTGAAATGCTTTCTTTGTCTCTCTTTCACCTGGCTACCTCTTGCTTGTCCTTAGAGACTGTCATGAAGTATCACCTTTGCTAGGGAGACTTCCACAGCACAGCATGTCTCATGTTTCCAACCCATCTCCAGGCTGTCTTGCAGAGAGTATGATGTAGGGGCAGAGGTTCACAGAACACAGGGGCTGGGATGGACCCAGGGCCCAGGCAATGGGAGAGCCCAGGAACCTCAACAATAGGTTGATGGGCATATGCTGGGAGGCAAGGTGGCCTTGGTGAATGGGATTGGGGTGTCAGGGACAAGACTGGCTTTCTGGCTTCAGTGGGATACGTTGGTAAATGTATTCAGGCCTACTGGCTCCCACTGTGTTCCTAAAACTCGTTCTGCCTATCTCCAACACAGCTTTTTTTGTTTCTGTTTTGTTGTTAGAGTTGGGGTCTCTGTCACCCAGGCTGGAGTGCAGTGGTGCAATCATAGCTCACTGCAGCCTGGAGCTCCTGGGCTCAAGCGATTCTCCTGCCTTGGCCTCCTGAGTAGCTGGGATTACAGGCATGCACCACCAGGCCTGGCTAATTTTTTAATATTTTTGTAGAGATAGGGTCTTGCTATGTTGCCCAGGCTGGTCTCAAACTCCTAACCTCAAGGAATCCTCCTACTTTGGCCTCCCAAAGTGGTGGGATTACAGGCATGAGCTAATACTCTACTTTTTAGACTGACTCTTAAATAGCCTCAGCCTTAGACACCTGCCACCCCATCAACTCCCGCTTAGATGTCAAGTTTGAACATCTGTGTTAGTCAGAAGATTTTTCCAGGCAGAGGATGAAGGAGGAAGGGGTGTGGGAGAGAGGAAGGGAGGGACTTCCTCCGTGGGTCAGAGAGGCAGCAGATACGTATGTAACTAGGACTGCCTGCCCTAGAAGATTCTAAGAAGAAAAGAAAGTAGAAGATGCAGAGAGATAAACAGGGAGAAAGGGAGGAATCAAAAACGTATTCCTTTGGGAAGTTTGCAGGGCTTATTTCTATCAAAAGAAACAATAATGTCACAGAAGTCACATGGAGTCGGGAACATTATTGGGATGTACATTCCCATGGGTTACATGAGTTGCTGACAAGCAGCGGCAGAAATGTAGCCAGGTGATTGGTCTCCAATTCTACCCCGACACTTTCAAAGAAAGTGATAAACATCACCTGCGGTCCCCATTCCGTCTTCTGTTGTCATGTGGATGAACGCAGTGATCTGCCTGTTGGATTTTAAATCTCCTAATTTAATAGGCTCCTGGACAGGTCAAAAAGTCGGCTGGGTGCAAATGTCTTATTTAAATATGGGTTTCCCTCTTTGTCCACTATGTTCATTTAAAAGAAGGAAAGGAAGGGGAGAGGAGGGGAGGAGAGGGAAGAAGGAAGGGAAGGGAAGAAGGAAGGGAAGGGAAGAGAGAAGGGAAGGGAAGTAGGAAGGAAAGAGAGAACAGAAGGGAAGAGGGAAGGGAAGAGAAGGGGAAGGGAAGGGGGAAGGGAAGGGAAGGAAGAGGGAAGGGAAGAGAAGGGGAAGGGAAGGGGGAAGGGAAGGGAAGGAAGAGGGAAGGGAAGAGAAGGGGAAGGGAAGGGGGAAGGGAAGGGAAGGAAGAGGGAAGGGAAGGGAAAAAGGAAGGGAAGGGGGAAGGAAAGGGGGAAAGGAAGGGAAGGGAAGGAAAGGGAAGGAAGAGGGAAGGAAGGGGGAAAGGAAGGGGAGGGAAGGAAGAGGGAAGGAAGGAGGACAGGAAGGGGAGGGAAGGAAGTGGGAAGGAAGGAGGACAGGAAGGAGAGGGAAGGAAGAGGGAAGGGAAGGAAAGGGAAGGAAGAGGTAAGGAAGAGGGAAGGGAAGGAAACCCACCCTTGTTTAGCATATCATCAAGAAATAACCATAAAAATGGGCAACCAGCTGCCCTGGGGGCTGCTCTGCCTATTCTTTTATTCCTTTACTTTCCTAATAAACTTGATTTCATTTTACTCTATGGACTTGGTCTGAATTCTTTCTTGTGTGAGATCCATGAACCCTCTCTTGGGGTCTGGATTGGAATCCCTTTCCTGTAACAGGGGTATGAACTTCTAGGCAGCTCCTGAAGGTAATACATGAAGCACACACACACACACACACACACACACACACACACACGGATAGGCTGTTGCCCAGGCTGGAGTGCAGTGTGCGATCACAGTTCACTGCAGCCTCAATATCCTGGACTCAAGGGATCCTCCCGCCTCAGCCTCTGGAGTAGCTGGAACTACAGGTGCGTGCCCCTGAGCCCAGCTCTGAAGGTAATATTACATCAGTGCTCTCCTGGAGTACCTGCCATTTGATAGACACTCAATTACTGTTAAACAAGAGGCTTATGTGTGTCTGGTGCATATGTATATGTGTTGTGTGTGCACGTGTATGTGTGGGATGTCCGTGTAGTGTGCATATGGTGTGTGGTGTGCGTGTTGTGTGTGTGTGCGCACATGTATGTGTGGTGGCAGGGGAGGTTAGGGAGGAGACCCAGACCTAGCATCAATTTCCACTGTGATCTGCCTTGTTGTCTCGACATCTCCCTGCCTTAGCCGGATGGAAGGAACCAGTGTTCTCCAAACACATCTTGCAGGTTCTCACTGTGTTCCACTTACCCCTCTTCCCAATTCCTTCTTCTCTCCTCCCCCACCACAGCCTTTCCCTTCCCCCTCTAATTAATGGATCCCTCCTCTCTGTCCTCACGGTGCCTCCTGCCTCCCTGTTGCTGCCGCCTGAAGCATTTCTCTCTGATTAGATTGCGAGTCTTATCCCCAGCTCCAGCATCAGCAAGGGTTTTGGCACAAATATTTGTTGAAATCTTGAAAGGAGCACCCTGCTTGAACAGTGGCTTCTGCTGCTGGCTGTCTGCATAGTGTAGTTGCTGAAAACAGCTGGAGGTCAAGATGCATCCCCCTACTGGGATCACACGCTGATGTCGCTCTGTGACCCAGTTAGGACAAGTCCCATACAAAGCCTCGGTTTTCTCATCTGTAAGTTGGAACTCATAGCACTTATTTCAAATTAAGCATTAGATGAAGAATCTAAGTTAAGTGCATGCCGCTGGTGGGTGTGTTCATTTTCCTCCCCTTCTGTCCTAACTTAGAAAAAAAAAAAATGGGCAGGGCGTGGTGGCTTACGTCTATAATCCCAGCACTTTGGGAGGCCCAGGCAGGTGGATCGCTTGAGCCCAGGAGTTGAAGACCAGCCTGGTCCACATAGTGAAACCCTCTCTCTATTTAAAAAAAGAAAGAAAAAAAGTTTATTGATGTTTCCTTATAAATGAGAAAGGATTTGGTCTTATTTCTTAAGGATTTGGTAGTTAAATCATTGAATAGGACAGGTACATGGAAAAGCCTAGATGGTATGGTTTTCTGATTATCTATTTCCATGTAACAAACAGTTCCAAAACTTAATGGCTTAAAGCAATTTATTATTAGAGAATTTTTTATGGTTCTGTGGGTTGACTGGAGCAGCTGGAAGTAGAGTCATCTAAAGGCTCAAGGATGGTTTATTCACTCAAATGTCTGCTGTCTCAGTTGGGATGATTGGAACAGCCAGAGCTGGCTGGCATCTCTCTCTCCACATGGACCCTTCCTAGTCTAGCTGGGGCTTCCTCACAGCATGGCCGTCTCAGGGCAGCTAGACTCTCACATGGCAATGGACTTCTTCCACAAGCATTCTGAGAGAGCAAGGTTCCTTATGAACTAGCTCAAAAGTCATGCAGCATCACTTCTACAGTAGGCTGTTGGTGACATAGGCCAAGCCCGAATTAACAAGTGAGAAGAGCACACAAGAGTGTGGGCACCTACCAGGAAGTGTGGTTCCCCAGGGCCATCTTTGAAGATTAGCTACCACCACACAAAGATAATATGCAAAGACATGAGAAATGACTTTCACTGTTGGATGCATCTGTTGCAGGGTGGGCAAATGTTCTCTTTATAGGGCCAGATACTAAATACTTTAGAGCTGCAGGTCATATGGTCTTGCCGTGACTACTGAACTCTGCTACTGAAGTGTAAAAGCAACCACAAACAATATGCAAGTGAATGGGCATGGCTGTGTTTCAATACAACTTTATTTACAAAACAGGTTGGGGAGCCAGCAATCACCAATTATTAGATACTTAGCAAATGCCAGACATGGGGTGCATTCGTTTTCTATGGCTGCTGTAAGAAATTACCACAAACCTGGTGGCCTCAAACAATACAAATGTATTCGTTCATAATTCTGGAGGCCAAACTCAGTTTCACTGGCCTGAAATCAAGGTGCTGCCCGGGCCATACTCCCTCCAGAAATTCCAGGGGAGAATCCATTCCTGGCTTCTTCTGGCTTCTGGAGACTGCTAGAGTTCCTTGGCTTGTGGCCACATCATTCTGATCTCTGCCTTCATCTTCACATAGCCTCTCTTCTGTATGCCTGAGTGTCAAATCTCTCTCTGCTTTTCTCTTGTAAAGATATATGTGATTGTATGTGGGGGCCTGCCTAGATAATCCAAGATGATGTTCTCATCTCAAGATCCTTAATCAGGCTGGGAGTGAGGGCTCATGCCTGTAATCCCAACACGCTGGCAGGCCAAGGTGGGCAGATAACTTGAGGCCAGGAGTTCAAGACCAGCTTGGCCAATATGGCAAAACCCTGTCTCTACTAAAAATACAAAAATTAGCCAGGCGTGGTGGCATACGCCTGTAATCCCAGCTATTCAGGAAGCTGAGGCAGGGGAATCATTTGAATCCGGGAGGCGGAGGTTGCAGTGAGCCGAGATCGTGGTGCTGCAATCCAGCCTGGGCGACAGAGTGAGACGCAGTCTCAAAAAAAAAATCCTTCATCACATCTTTCCCATAGAAGGTAATATTCACAAGTTCTGGGAATTGGAAGTAGATCTTTGGAGAGGTATTTTTCAGCCTACTGCAAGAGGTAGGCACTTTGTATACCTTTTTCTCTCATATTAAGGCTATGCGGTAGCTATGACTTTTACTATTTTACAGATGAGGAAAGTGAGGCTCAGAGAGGTTTGCTAACTAACTTCCCTGTATTTCTTATGCAGCTGGTAAGAAGGTCCAAGCTCTTTCCCTTACCCTTAGAGAATATTTCTGGGAGAAATACTGGGCCATGCTATTCCATTCTATGTGATTTCAGAGCATTCACTTTATTTTTCAGACACTTAGTGTTTTCAGCTGTAAAATGGGAATCATCATATATCCTTCGTAACCTAGGTCAGATGAAATTAGACAGTTTTTGTAAAAATCATTTCAAACGTATTATGTGTTATATAGGTGCAATGCGTTGTGATTATCTATGGTGGGTTCATCAGAAAGTTTTTATATGAGACAAGAGATGACTTGGCTGAGAGCTACGAATGAAATGCCAAAATATTTCTAGAAATCGTTGCTGGCCTAGAGTGCTGAATCTTCACTTAACATAGTGATTGAAGTTGTGATATGGATACATTTAAAAATATTCCCTGTTTGAGGAATTATACCTGGAAGCCACCCCTCAAAGAAAGCCAGCAGGAAATGCTAAATTATTTCAAGCTGAAAGGGGGAGGGAAGGTGAGTTTTAGTCTTTATGAGGTTTCTTCTCCTCTCAATTTTAGGCATTATACCCAATGTGTCAGAGTTTGATTGCAATGGTACCATGAGCTGTTTTTCTGTCTGTTAACTTTCCGTGGTTTCTATCATCTTGGTAATAAAAAAAAGGGGTGGTGGGAGAAGAGTGGGTGGGAGGTTGCCTAAGTGAGCAGCAAAGTGATGCCAGGAAGAAAAAGTCAGGCATGATAAAGAGCATTTAGGAGGAACCTAGACATCTTTATCAAAATTGATTTTGGACTGGACAGGCCTCATCTCTGCATTCATGCTGTATTTATAAATCTAGATCAGATGGGGAAAACATGGCCTCTCAGAATAGAGCACATCCTGTACCGTGGCAGACATCACTAATCAATCAGAGCAACCCAGCACTCCAAGCAGCCACTCCCAGTCAATGAACACTGTCGCCTCTGTGCTTGATGATAAGCCTAAAACATAAATTTTACTGCATTAAATAACTTCCCTAATCCAAAAGCCTTTTTGTCCTGCTGCTTATACCCAAGCTGAAGCTGCTTGTTTACTATTTTGGTAACACCTGGTTTATTTGCAACTCAACAGCAGCAGCTACGATTCACTCACTGTGCACAAAGCTCTCTATATTGAAGTCTTACCACTGTTAGTTTTTCTAGGTAACTGAAGCTCATCTGAATGCTATGCCAATCAAAGGAAGAGTTCTGCTACTTACAGACTGTTTGAAGACTGCTGCTCTAGTGAGTAGTGTTTCTGGAGATGAGTGAAGCATTTCATTTTTGTTTATCAGAGGTTATTGCTGTGTTTATGGCAGTGTTTATTGTTAGATAATTTGGGGAATGCAAAATAAAAACTAAAAAACTTATATTCATGGTGTGGGCAAGACGAACAAACATGATTCACTGAAGGAAAAAAAAAAAAAAACCAAACTCCCTGCGTATGGGCGGGCATTGGCAGAAAATGAGAGAGCATTCAAGCAAATGTTGCAAAATATTAACAACTGTCGAATGTGGGTAGGAGGTATTCAGGGATTCATTTCTTCAACCTTACTATATGTTTGAAACTTTTCACAGTAAAAACCTGGAGGGTGGAATAAAACATGGAGAATAGATGTATTTTTTAAAAATCCCTTCATCCATGAGATCTTTGCTACTTCTGTTTTAATTTTTAAATTTTTTATTGAAAAATAATTTATATAACATAAAATTCACCCTGTTAAAGTGTACATTTCAGTGGGTTTTAATATATTCTCTATGTTCTGCAAACCTTACTGCTCTCTAATTCTAGACCACATCCATTGCCCCAAAATGGAACCCAATACATATTAGCAATTTGTCTCAACTTCCCCCCTGCCCCCTTGGCAACCACTAATCTGTCTGTAAGGCTTTACCTATTGTGGACACTTCATATAAATAGAGGCATATACTATGCGGTCTTTCATGACTGCTATCTTTCACTTAGCATGATGTGTTCAAGGTTCTTCTACATTGCAGCATGTATCAGTACTTCATTCCTTTTTGTAGCTGAATAATATTCCATTGTATAGATAAACCACATATTATTTACCCATTCTTTTGCTGATGGACATTGGGGTTATTCTTCCTTTTGGCTACGATGAATAAGGCTGCTATGAACATTCATGTTCAAGTTTTTGTGTGAACATTTGTTTTCAGTTCTCTTGGGTATATACCTAGGAGTGGAATTGCTGGGTCATTTGGTAACTCTATGTTTAATCTTTTGAGGTTCTGCTAGGCTGTTTTCCAAGGTACGCCATTTTACATTCCTACCAGCAATGTATGAGAGTTCCAGTTTCTCTCCATCCTTGCCAACATTTGTTATTGTCCTTTTGCAATTTTTTTTTTTTTTTTTGAAACAGAGTCTTGGTCTGTCACCCAGGCTGGAGTGCAGTGGCGCGATCTCAGCTCACTGCAAGCTCCGCCTCCCGGGTTCACGCCATTCTCCTGCCTCAGCCTCCCGAGTAGCTGGGACTATAGGCGCACGCCGCCACGCCTGGCTAATTTTTTGTATTTTTAGTAGAGACGGGGTTTCACCGTGTTAGCCAGGATGGTCTTGATCTCCTGACCTTGTGATCCACCCACCTCGGCCTCCCAAAGTGCTGGGATTACAGGCGTGAGCCACCGCGCCCGGCCGCAATTTTTTAATATATCCATCCTGATGGGGTGGATCTCCGTTAGGAGATCTCATTCTAATGGGTGAGATCTCGTTGCATTTTTAACTTGCATTTCTGCCACTTCTGTTTTCTACTTCAATGCTGATGAACTTAGGAGAAATTGTCAGCTGAGATATTGAACGTACAAAAGCAGTAGGGGGTCTTAAAAATCATTGCATTCTGCAATTGCATCGATTCTTCCTTAAGAATCATCTTGTGCTCCCAGACTATCCCTGAGTTGTTGCTTAAGGCTTGTACTTGTTTTCTATTGCCGTGTAACAAACGACCAGAAGCTTAAAGACAGCTCCAACTTATTAGATCACAGTTCTGCAGGTTAGAGGTCGGACATGCTGTAGTTGGGTTCTCTGCATAGGGTATCACCAGGCTGAAATCAAGGTGTCATCTGGACCGAGTTCTTGTCTGGAACCTCCAGGGAAAATTCCCAGATCATTCCTGTGGGTGGTGGGATTCAGTGTCTTGTAACTGTAGAACCTAGGTCCCTGCTTTCTTACTGGCTGTCATCTGGGGCCAACCTTAGTGCCTAGAGGCTGCCCACATTCCTTGCTACATGGAACCTTTCATCTTCAAGCCAGCAACAGCATGTTGTATCCTTGTTCTTTGAAGCTCTGACTTTTCTGTCTCTGATCTCCAGACTCAGCTTTAAGAGGCTCACGGGATTAGGTCAGGCCTGCTCAGATCATCTCTGTATCTTAAGGTCAACTGATTTGGAACCTTAATGACATCTGCAGAATCCCTTCACAGCAATGCCTAGATTAATGCCTGAGTAACTGGGAGAGGTATGTGTACAGTATGGACTGGGAATCTTGCTAGCCATGCTAGAATTCTGCTTTTCAAAGTCTTTTGACATAAACACTAAAATGTGTCTTTTGCTGACCACAGCGTCGAAATGTTTTCATGCGCCATGAAAGCAGTTCCAGCTTTATGATTGACACTGGATAACAGCTATTTCAAGTAGGACAATATTCTGCAAATCCATTGGTATTGTCTATCCTGACTCTTGCTGTTGATTATTGAGTCAATGGCTCCTGTTGGCTTCAGGGATCTTAGCGTGTTGATTGGGACCTGGTTGAGTCATGACAAAGTGATAAATTGCATGCTTATTTCCTCTTGTGATTCTGTGGCTCTTTGGAAAGGACTAACCTTCTGGTGTGCCCAATAAAATCCTCTTTGATGTGCCAAATATGGACCTTTGAACTTTTAAGGAATTTTAAGTGGGGAAAATTAGTATCTGCCCATATTGAAGCAAGCACAGCCTTCGTATTTTTTCCTCATTGTGGACATTAGCGGCAGGAAACGCTCTTGATTCTTGGCCATATCATTTCTCTCCCCCGTCTAATCATTTAGCTCTCACATTCTGAAACGGGCATAAATTGCCCCTTGTTAAGTACAATAAACTAAAATGTGAATGCATGTGAGACGTACAATGACTTTGAAAGAGAAAGCCAATAGGAACCAGTTCCCATTGCCAAGGTCAAGTCAGAAGTGGCTAGACATTTCTTTCTTTCTTTTAATACTGTTGGAATGCAGTAGATCTCAGCGGGTCTGAAGACAGCATTTTCCAGTGTGAGATCCTGGGACACCAGTTTCCTAAGATGAATAATAGGCATTAAGTGGAAAGAGTTCTGTCGTCATGTAGGGTTTGCCATTCAAGTGAATTATAAACCTCAGGGGAGATGTTCTGTTGGGATTTCTAAGGGGAGATGTTCTGTTGGGATTTCTAAGGGGAGATGTTCTGTTGGGATTTCCAAACTTACTTAGAGGTTGAACACTCATTCGGGTTTTCCATTTATGAAGGGCTGTGTTGAAAGAATTCTTTGACTTGAGAAAGTAGGCATATGTCTGTTGGCACATTTGTGGCACCAATCCACAAAGGGACACATCTCCACATTTGAGTCACAAGTACACATCTTTGGGTCAGTCAGGTGCGGTGGCTCACGTCTGTAACCCCAGCACTTTGGAGGCTGAGGCAGGCGAATCACCTGAGGTCAGGAGTTCAAGACCAGCCTGGCCAACATGGTGAAACCCCGTCTCTACTAAAAATACAAAAATTAGCCAGGTGTGGTAGTGCATGCCTGTAATCCCAGCTACTTGGGAGGCTGAGGCAGGAGAATTGCTTGAACCCAGGAGGTGGAGGGTGTAGTGAGCCGAGATTGCGCCTCTGCATTCCAGACTTCAGGCTGGGTGACAGAGTGAGACCCTGTCTCAAAAAAAAAAAAAAAGTAGGATTATTTGCTAATCCCTTTATAGCCTATCAATACTATTCTCAATCTGAAGCCCTAGAAGTGGCCTCAGATACTTCAGTAACAAGTTTATATCTAGTAAATGGATAAAAGGAGGAAATTGATATTTCTTAATTATCCCCCACGGGATGGGTGCATTGTGTATTGTATCCTATTTAAACTTCACAATAACCCTGCTGAAGCGAGTGTTATTACCTTCAGTTCATAAACAAGGACACTGCAGCTCAGAAAGGCTAAGCAGTTTGCCTAAGGTCACACAGCTTGTACATGTTCTTGAATCCAGCATCATCTGACTCCAAAGCCCCTCCTCTTTCTCATATACCATGCTGTCTCTCCTCCTTTCTTGCTAATGTGTTTTAGTTTATGCTATGAATGAGTAATCTAAAAGCTGGGTGTAGATCAAACATTTTAAATTGAATTGTATTTTCCAATTTTTCAGCATTATGATTTCAGAGATGCTTCATCCTTATTCCAAAATCATCTTTAACTGGATGGGTGTGGTGGTTCATGCCTATAATCCCAGCATTTTGGGAGGCCGAGGTGGGTGGACCACTTGATGTCAGGAGTTTGAGACCAGCCTGGCCAACGTGGTGAAACGTCATCTCTATTAAAAATACAAAAATCAGCCGGGCATGGTGGCGAGTGCCTGTAATTCCAGCTACTCAGGAGGCTGAGGAAGGAGAATTGCTTGAACCTGGGAGGTGGAGGTTGCAGTCAACCAAGATGGCACTACTGCACTCCAGCCTGGGAGACAGAGCGAGACTCCATATTTAAAAAAAAAAAAAGACAAAAAATAGTCATCCTCAACTGACAGTGGTTTTGGATGCTTGAGTTCTCCATCGCCCCACCTCTTCCCTATTCTCTATGAAGTGATGAATAATCTGAAAGCAAAATTTTGCAATGCACTGGGAAAAACGAACTCTGATTTCATTTATTTTCCAATTTCTATGCTTCCTCAAAGGAAGTGTGTCTTTTCATTTATCTGCATAATTCTGGAGAGCTTTAGAGCCAGACGGGCTCCGGCTCAAATCACTTGACCTTTGGCTAGTGATTTCATTTCTGTTTCCTGGGCCTGTAAAATGGGAACGACAGAACTCTTGGAGGCCAATTAAGGACCATGAATTTAAAGCACTTACATAGGAGTACTCTGTAATTGTTAACTTCTCTTTGACTTTAGTATTGGGGATTAAGTAATATTGGCCAATAAGATAAAAAACAAAAACAAGAATTGTCAGGGACACCATTTAAGGACTCTGAAAAGAGTTACAAAGAAACTAGCCAGCCAAGGTGGTTCACACCTGTAATCTCCGCACTTTGTGAGGCAAGGTGGGAGGATCGCTTGAGCTCAGGAGTTCAAGACCAGCTTGGGCAACATGGTGAAACCCCACCTCTACAAAAAAAAAAAAAAAAAAATTAGCCAGGCATGGTGGCACGTGCCTGTAGTCTCAGCTACTCCAGAGGCTGAGGTGGGAGCATTGCTTGAGCCCAGGAGTTTGAGGCTGCAGTGGCCATGATCACACCACTGCACGGCAGCCTGAGCAACAGAGTGAGACCCTGTCTCAACAAAAAAAAAAAAAAAGAAAAAAAGAAAAAGGAAACTAGCACCTGTCTTCTCATTGTCCTTATCAGTTTTGCTGCTCGTTTCTTTATGGCCAGTCAGTACCAATTCAGAGTACACTTGAAAATTCAAGTAAACACGAACATACATTAATATTAACTGAAGAACAAATATTTGTGGAACTCCCTTGGCCCTTCATGTTTACTTTTGCTCTGAGAAACATAGTTAGCAGAAGTAACATCAAACAAAAAAGACTATTCCCATCATCTAGGGAAAGTTATACCCCCAGCTTGCCACCATAGGCCCTCAGCTACTCACTATCCTAAATTGAGCAAGAGACACTGGCATTTAACCACAAGGTATTTTTACCTAAACATGTGTCATTTCAAAATGCTCTTCTCTTGGTATTCCCAGACCTAACTAGCGCAGCGCCTTACCCATAGTAAGGCCATTTTGTTGAATTAATGAATATTTACAGAAACATGCTCACTCCTAGTTCCCTCCATATTTAACTCCAAACGAGATGAGCAGGTTTCGTTTTGCGTCCAAAAATAGTTCGGCTCCTAGAAAATATTTTCCCAAGGAGCATGGTGGAAGATGAAGTAGCTTGACTTTGCTCAAAATAAAGCTATGCCAATATTTGTTACCCAGACTCACCAGCTCTGACCTTCAGCTGTTTGAGACAGGCGTTCATGGCTCAGTGGATAGGGCGGCAGGGTGTCTAGCTTTTGCTGAAATCTTAAATTGATTCTAGACCCTTACACAGACACACACACACACCTCAATAGTTCTCTCCTTCAGAATCATCAGTTAACCCATGTCACTCATATCTCCTAATGTAGGGTAAATAAAGAACATTTTTGATTGGGGACAGTGGCTCACACCTGTGATCCCAGCACTTTGAGAGGCTAAAGTGGGAGGATCAGTTGAGTCCAGGAATTTGAGACCAGCCTGGACAACATAGAGAGATCCCATCTCTACATAAAATTTAAAAACTAGCCAGGCAAGATGGTACACACCTGTGGTCCCAGTTAGCTACTTGGGAGGCTGAGGTGGGAGGATCGCTTGAACCCGGGAGGTCAAGGCTGCATTGAGGTATGATTGCTCCACTGCACTCCAGCCTGGGTGACAGAGCGAGACCCTGTTTTGAAACAAACAAACAAAAAGGAATTCTTTCCATTCTGTTCATGGATCCAGTACCCACTGTGTACACACTTCACAACCCACTACACTTGGCTTCTCAAAGTTTCTTCCCTGTGTCTCCCAGTCATTGACCAAGTCCAACTTCACTTTGTTCACACTGAAGCCGCAAGCTTCTCTAATCTTGCATTCTCTTGCTTTTATGAGTTATCTGGCATGCATCCCCTGGATCGTATAGATTAACCCCATTTACAGCAAATTCTGCTCAGAGCCCTGGTGAGGCAAGGCCTGGCCACTGAACTGCACAGTCTTGGAGAGAGTGCTTTGCATAAAGCCCATTAAGAAGGTGACAGCTGAGCCTCCTTCTAATAACTCACAGTGGCAGATCGGAACAAATTGTTCTTGTTTTTTCATATTTGGAGGAGTCAGGGGGTTGGGCTGGGCAGAGCGGGGAGGTTGTGGTGGAAGACGCAGTTTCCCTTTTTGCTAATAGGGGATTTAAAAATAGTGTCTCAAGAAAATCGTTGGAAGCAAGAGACCGCAGGGATACTACACAGTGACACACAAAGAGGATGTTGCTATTTCTGTTAGCGTCTCGGGTTAGTACAGAGAGTGGTTTAAAAAAAATGGGGACGGGGAGGCAGGGCGGGAAAACTGTAGGTTTTGAGAAATTGAGAATGCTATTTTCCAAGGTTCTTGCTGATAACTCGTGTTTCTTGAGCCCAGGACAGGTTAACTTCTCTCATAAGAGGGACACTACCACTTAACCCCAAAGTATTTTTACCTAAACGTGTGTCATTTCATGTGTAATAGACCCTATACTCCCCTCCTTCTGTGCTGGGTAGGAACACATAAGACAAGAATCCAGATACCACGTAACTGGCATTTCCCTGTTGAACACGGCCCTAGCTCACTTTCCTTTGGAATCATTCATTACTATGTTTTTTATTGTGGTAAAATGCACATACATGAAATTTGCCATTTTAACAATTTTAAGTATGTAGTTCTGTGGCATTCAGTGCATTCACATTGTTGTGCCACCATCATTGCCATCTATCTCTTCAAGAACTCTTTTTTTTTTCTTTTTGAGTTAGGGTCTCACTCTATTGCACAGGCTGAAGTGCAGTAGCATGATCCCGGCTCTCTGCAACCTCCACCTCCCAGGTTCAAGCAATTCTCCTCCCTCAGCCTCCCAGGTAGCTGGGATTACATGCGCCTGCCACCACACCCGGCTAATTTTTGTATTTTTTTGGTAGACGCACATTTCACCATGTTGGCCAGGCTGGTCTCGAACTCCTGACCTCAAGTGATCCTCCCGCCTCGGCCTCCCAGAGTGCTGGGATTACAGGCATGAGCCACCCGTGCCCGGTTGCAAGAACTCTTTTCAGTTTGCAAAACTGAAACCCTGTACCCATCAAACACTAACTCTCCCCTTTCCCCATTCTCTCCAGCTCCTGGTCACTATCATTTTACTTTCTGTAACCAAGAATTAGCCAAATTCATAAAGGTACTTACTCTAAGTACCTCATATGAGAAGAATCATACAGGATTTGTGCTTTTGTGACTGACTTATTTCACTTAACATAATATTTCAAGGTTATCTGTATTGCAACACGTGTCAGAATTTCATTGCTTTTCATGTCTGAATAATACCGTATTCCATGATGTGTGTATACCACATTCTGTTTATCCATTCACCCATCGGTGAACACTTGGGTTGCTTCCAGCTTTTGGCGATTGTGAATAGTGGTGCTACGAACGCGGATGTATTCTAATTCCTTTTTAAAAACTCGAGTCCTGGCTGGGTGCGATGTCTCACACCTGTAATCCCAGCACTTTGGGAGACTGAAGCGGGTGGATTGCTTGAGGTCAGGAGTTCAAGACCAGCCTAGGCAACATGATGAAAACTCTTCTGTACAAAAAAATAAAAAATAAGTCGGGTGTGATGGCACAGGCCTGTGGTCCCAGCTACTCAGAAGGCTGAGGTGGGAGGATTATTTGAGCCCAGGAGGTGAAGGCTACAGTGAGCCAAGATTGCACCACTCCACTCCAGCCTGGGTAACAGTGAGACCCTGCCTTAAAACAAACACACACACAAAATTTATTTTATTACCATGTTATTACCATGTTGGCCAGGGCTGGTCTCGAACCCCTGACCTCAAGTGATCTGCCTGCCTCGGTCCCCCAAAGTGCTGGGATGACAGGCGTGAGCCACTGCACCCAGCTGCTTGTCTATTTCTTTTACCTCCGTTGATGAGCTGTTTCCCAGCCGAATAATCTGGCAAACACAGCCCAGGAGTGCAAACTTGGAAGCTGAACGTGACATTGGGGAGTCCCCTTGTCAGACTTCAGACTCACAAACAAGGTGTCCTTCCCTTCTAAGAAGCAGCTTCTGTTATGGTGACCATATGTCCCCGTTTGCCCAGGACGGTCTTGGTTTACACCTGTTGTCTCTGTGTGATCATTAAACAGCATGACCCTGCACTCTCAGAAGGACCCTGGGTTGGATGAGAAGTTATATAGTTGTGCAATTTATGGAGAAAGTTGTAAACTGGTGTCATCCGAGAGCAGGTGAGACTGGAAGATAAAGACACTATTACTTGGGGAGACTCTGGAGGGTGGTGTGGGACCCAGAAATGACAGCCAAATGTGTAGCTTTTGGGGTTCGAGGAGAAAGGAAAGAGGAGCAGGATTTAGGCTTGATGGTTCCCAGTGTGCTGAACCAATAACTTTCCTTGTGGCTGATCGATCTAAGACAGTGGTTCTCAACCAGCGGGGATTTTGCCTCTCTGGGGACGCTGGGCAATGTGTGGAGATGTTTTTGGTTGTCACAGCTTGGGTGGGGGCTGCTGCTAGCATCTAGAGGGTAGCAACCAGGCATGCTGCTCGACACCCTAGGGTGCCCAGCACGGCCCCCTCCCCAAATAAGTACCCAGCCCCAAATGCCAACAGTGCAGACGTTGAGAAAAATTGGTTTAAGAGTTGCAAGAAGAAAATGAAGAGGAAGGAAAGGAAATAGGCTTCAACAAGAAGAAGGGAAGATGCAAAGAGCAACAGAAGGAACTGCAGCCTCTGGGTCAGGACATAAACTTGGCTTTTCCTCCTGCCTTTCCAGTGGTCTTGATCCTTTTCCCACATTGCTTAGTCCCCTTTTCTGTTTGCCTCAATATCTTCCTCTGTGCAATGGGGCCAACCCAAGTCTCATATGTGTGATGTGGCGGCTGAGAGCAAGTTTCTGAGGTGGTTTGATTTTTTTTTTTTCTTTGAGACAGGGTCTCACTCTGTTGCCCAGGCTGCAGTGCAGTGGGGCGATCATGGCTAACTTACAGCCTCAACCTCCCAGGCTCAAGTGATCCTCCCACCTCAGCTTCCTGAGTAGCTGGGAATACAGGTGTGTGTCACCATGCCAGGCTAATTTTTATTCATTTATTTTGTAGAAACAGGGTCTTCTTATATTGCCCAGGCTGGTGGTAAGGTGATTTAAGTTTACAGTGCTTGACAAATATAGAATACTCGGCCCCAGCAGGGCACGGTGGCTCATGCCTGTAATCCTAGTAGTTTGGGAGGCCGAGGCAGGCAGATCACTTGAGGTCAGGAGTTCGAGACCAGCCTGGGCAACATGGCAAAACCCTGTCTCTACTATATATACAAAAATTAGCCAGGCTTAGTGGCGAGTGCCTGTAATCCCAGCTACCAGGGAGGCTGAGGCAGGAGAATCGCTTGAACCCAGGAGATAGAGATTGAGGTGAGCTGAAATCGCACCACTGCACTCCAGCCTGGGTGACACAGCAAGACTCTGTCTCAAAAAGAAAGAGGAATACTTGGCCTCCAGGCCACCCACCAGCACATGGGTTCTCGAGACTGAGAGGGAAGCAGCCATCACTCATTCCCACCCAGAGGTGAGAGGTAAGAAAGTAGGGAGACAGCATGGCTGTGTGTTTAGAGCAATTTCCAAATGCATTTTCTCCTAACACTCACAGCTACCACACTACACTAACTGCTAAGAGGTTCACTGTGTTTCAAATCCTCAACTGATATTCTCAGGACACCCAGATGACGTGTGGCTTTTATAAGTCCTGTTTTATGTGTTTTAAGGTATTCTGGGTTAGTGATGGAATGCAGAGAAGACCTAGCCTCTGTCCCCTTGGGTCCTGTTGATAATTTGCTATATTTTAATATGTGCGTACATCCCAACATCAGATGATGTAATTGTCTTGGTTGCAAGTACTCACCTGTCTGGGCTGAACTCAGTTTGCAATTGCTCCCTATTGACTCTCATAAATATTCATTTATGATGAGGTCAGATGAAGCCGTGGAATTCAGCAAAGGATCATGATGAACACAAACCTCAGCCTCCTCCCCACCTGGGAGGGGCAAGGGCAGACACAGGATCACATTTCAGGAGCTTAGAAGAAATCAGACTGAGCTTCAATGAAATCAGTCTGTGAGAAGAGATGCGAGATGTTAATTAAAGGGGGGAAATCCAAGCTCAGTGATAAATGTGCTGCGTCCTTGGGACCCGGCTGCTCAAATGTACTCTATTGCGGTAATTTTCCTAAGTGCAGTGGAGATTGGTGAAAAATCTTTCTGCCAATAAAAATATTTGCAAGACACTTTTTTTTTTTTTTTTAATTTGGTAAGCCCACCTAGAAGGCCCGCTTACATACTGATGAACTGGAAAATCCAAATGGCCACAGAATTCACCCTCCGACAAGGGAACGGTACTGCTTAAATACCAGAATTATTTTCACGAGTCCACGGATCACATATGAATGGCTTCGGCTGCTGGGGTTTATTGGCCCTGACGTGGGTCTCCGGGTTCTGGGGAGGGGGAGGGGCGGACTGCCTCAGTTATAGACAAAATAGATGACTAGCCTGGTGCCAATTAACCTCGCTTTAATTGATAATTAATTTTAAAACCTATTTACTCTCCCTGGAACAGCTGAGACTTTAAAGAGACCACTGCGAAAACAAATGGAGAATAAAGTCATCTCTCAGGAAATGAACCGGGACTCTCGGGGAAGGAGACAGATCAGGCCTTTCGGACGGGCCATTTTATTGAAGTATTCTGAATGTTCGTGAAGGTGACAGACCAAAGTCATAGGATGGTGACAGCTGCCTTCTGAGTTCACTGTCTCTTTATGGCCACCCATCCCCACTCCCTGGGAAGGTGACCAGCTGCCTGGGTGTGTCCAGAACGGAGGAGTTCCCCAGACGTGGGATTTTCAGAGCTTAAAATGGGAGGGCTCCATGCCCTCCTTCCTCCCTGGACCCTGATACCTCTGGATTGATTTTTTCACTCCCTGCCTCTTTTGATCCCCAGGCATTGCTTCTGTCTCTTTTCAACTTGATTCAGCCATACTCTCTGATTTCAACCCTTCAGTCAAAATCTCCCCACCTTGTTTTAACCTCAGGATGCTACTGAATAGCAAGATTGCAACATGGATGAACATCCAGATTATCAAACCCCTTCCATAGGTGACTTGTTCAAGAATAGGTTTCTTAGTAATTTTTTTTTTTTTTTGAGACAGGGTCTGGCTCTGTCACCCAGGCTGGAGTGCAGCGGCATGATCACAGCTCACTGCAGCCTTGAACTCCTGGGCTCAAGTGATCCTCCCACCTCAGCCTCCTGAGTAGATGGGACTATGGGCATGGCCCACCATGACAGGCTAATTTTAAAAATTTTCTGTAGAGACAGAGTTTTGCCATGTTGCCCAGGCTGGTCTCAAGCTCCTGGGCTCAAGTGATCCTCTGCCTTGGCCTCCTGAAGTGCTGGGATCACAAGCATGAGCCACCACACCTGGCTGTAGTTTTTTCTGACTATAAAAGCAACTAGAGCATGCTTACCAACAACAAAAAAAACCAGCAAACACAGAAATGCAGGAAAATATGAAGAGAATATAAATATGCAGAGATATAAATATAAACAGCAAAGCAGAGATTATTTTGAATCTCAGTGCCTGGAGAAGACACTGAAGTCATGAATCTTTTGGTCAATGTCCCATTTCATTCATTTAGTTTTTAATAGCCTGGGACGAATATAACTGTGATCTCCACCCTATCTCCATCATGATTATTCGAGATACTTGGAAGAAACCCAAACATGGAGATTCTAGTATTTGTAACATAATCTGATGATGTTTTGATAATTTCTACCATTGCTAATGAAAAATGTATCATACTTTATCCAGAATTCAGTCCAAAAAGTGTCTGGAGGAGCTAAGAGAATTATTAGCTGAGCGCATGAATTTGACTGCACTCAAGATGTGACATGAGATACCTTGGAGGGCTCTCCTTGGCCGTGGTCTAGACCTATTGACCAGTCCAGTTACTACTGCAGGGTTTAAAATGCTAAGCTGGAATTTTTACTCCCCTAAGGACCTCTGAGTTTCATGGGAGGGTCTATGATTCAATACACAGTAAAAGACCCGTGACTCTAACTTTGAAACGCCAATTCCCTCGTGAGATGTGGATGTAATAATATTTACAGTGTCTGGCGGGGGGATTGGTAAAATGCCCACGTGTGTGATGAGTGCAAAGGCCCATTATGCACGGCAGCTCCAGCCAGCTTCACCCGATTGAATAATAGAATCCCGGGACTCAAGGGAACCTGTAGAGCCCGCCCTGCTTTTGGAAATACTGAACTTGTGTAATACTTGTATAATACTCATTTGTTCACTCTTGCTTTATTTTAATCCTTCCGCCTTCTCTCCTCTCCTTCTGTCCCTTCTTCCCTCCCTCCCTTCCTTCCTTCCTCCCTTCCTTCCCTCCTTCCTTTCTATGAGACAGCCCTAGTTGAAACCATGGACTTTCAACCTAGATTATCTGGGTCCACACTCTCTTTCACTAGCTGTGTGCCCTTGGACAGATTACTTAACATTTCTGGGCTCTATTTCCTCATCTGTAAAATAAGGAGAATAATAGTACCTACTTGACAGGATTATTGTGAGGATTTATTGTGCATAGAGCACTTAAATCGGTTCCAGCACAAAGGTGCTCAATAAATGCTAGTGTTGTTCTAATGCACTCATTTAACTGATATTTATTGTGTTATTACAATGGAGCAGGCAGGGTGCTTGGTCTGGGGATCCTGCATTAATGAGGAAACATGATCTCTGCCCTTCCAGAGTCTGTAATCTAGTGTAATCTAGTGAAGGAGACAGCCTATAAACATTAAATAAGCAAAATAATTTCAGATTGGGGTGCATATTCCCAAGGAAATAAACAGGGTGGTAAAACGGGGAATAATAAGGGAGCTATGCTCTTTAGCTATGGGAGGTCCAGGAAAGCCTTTTGGAGGTGGAGACATTGAAGCTGCGATCCAGGGGTCAGCCATGGAAAGGACTGAAGGGGAAACTCTCTAGGCAGAGAGAAGAGTTGGTACCAAGTCTGGGATGGGAGAAAACTTGTGTTAGGGGCAGCGTGGCTGGAGCAGAGAGAGCCGGCGGCAGCGTGAGATGGGATGAGGCTGTGGAGCTGAGCAGCAACGCCGTGACCCAGAGGTGAGCGATGCTGGGTGACTGCAGTTTTTACAAGATGATTGTGGGCCAGGCATGGTGGCACATGCCTGTAATCCCAGCGCTTTGGGAGGCTGAAATGGGAGGATTGCTTGAGGCCAGGCGTTCGATACCAACTTGGACAACATAGCAAGACTCCTATCTCTACAAAAAAAAAAAAAAAATTAAAAATTAGCCAGGTGTGGTGATGCAAGCCTGCAATCCCAGCTACTCCAGAGGCTGAGGTGCGGCGAATCACTTGGAGCCCAGGAGGTCGAGGCTGCAGTGAGTCATGATTGTGCCACTGCACTCCAGCCTGGGTGATAGAGTGAGATCCTGTGTCTAAAAATAAATAAATAGGCCGGGCACGGTGGCTCATGCCTGTAATCTCAGCACTTTGGGAGCCCGAGGAAGGTGGATCACCTGAGATCAGGAGTTCGAGACCAGCCTGGCCAACATGGTGAAACCCTATCTCTACTAAAAATACAACAATTAGCTGGGCGAGTTGGCAGGCACCTGTAATCTCAAGAGAAGCTGAGGCAGGAGAATTGCTTGAACCGGGGAGACGGAGGTTACAGTGAGCTGAGATCCAGCCACTGCACTCCAGCCTGGGCGACAGAGCGAGATTCTGTCTCAAAAATAAATAAATAAATAAATAAATAAATAAATAAATAAATAAATAAGCAAATAAATAAAAATAAAAGATCGCTTTGACTTCTGACCCGACTAGAGATCAAATTGAAGAGGGGCATAGTAGTCTGTTCTTAGGGTAAACAACAGAATCCACTCTGGCTCTTCTAAGCAGAAAAGGGATTTATGTATTCAAGGAAGTGAGTTCACTCACAAAATTATCTGGGTGGGGTGCAGTGAGGACTAGAGAGAGTCAGACTTGAAATTAAGCCTTCAAGAGCAGCATCCCCACCCAAAACAGCAGTGCCTGCCAAGGCGCCTGAGGCCAAAATCTCTGTTGCCGCTGCTGCCCCTGCTAATCACTAAATACCAGGTTCTCACAATGCCCAGCACAAATGTCACACCTCGACCTGGCATCCTTTGGACCACTGGGGCTGCCATCGTGGCCACGTGCATCTGGGGGCTCCATCCTCACCCATGCCCATGAAAATGGCCCTTCTATACTCACCACGTGCCTGGGTTCTGGGTCACAAGCCCACAAGAGAGCGTGGGAATTTTCATTCTGTTTTCTAAAACATGGAGGAGGTGGGATTCCTGTCATGACAATTTCTTATTCTAAGAAGACAGCTGGGATTACAGGCGTGTGCCACAATGGCTAATTTTTATAATTTTGGCAGAGGCGGGGTTTCACCATGTTGGCCAGGCTGGTCTTGAACTCCTGGCCTCAAGTGATCTGCCTGCCTCAGCCTCCCAAAGTGTTGGGATTACAGGTGTGAGCCACCATGCCCGGCCCTCGTGTAGAGATATTTGACCATATTTTCTAAGCAAAAATAAAGATCTTTCTCCCAGCAACAAGATGGAATTTTGAAATTAATAATTCCTGAAAATCTGAGAACATATAGGACCAATATACCTGTTCCTTAGTAGCTTATCAATTCTCCCAGAGTATTCTTCTGTGTCTACTTTCTTTCCTTTTTTCCTTTTTTTTTTTTTTTTTTTTAAAAGAGACAGTGTCTTGCTTTGTTGCCCAGGCTGGAGTGTAGTGGTACCATCATAGTTTACTACAACCTCAAACTTCTGGCCTCAAGCGGTCCTCCCCACCTCAGCCTCCTGAGTAGCTAGGACTACTAGTGCACACCATCGTGCCCAGCTAATTGATTTTTTATTGAGACAGGCTCTTGCTATGTTGCAGAGGCTGGTCTTGAACTCCTGGGCTCAAGCGATCCTCCCTCCTTGGCCTCCTAAAGTGCTGGGATTATAAGCATGAGCCGCTGTGCCCGACCATCTATTTTACTTTTTTCTAAAATATCTTAATTATTCCCAGATATGTAGAGAATGAATAATGGGAGAGAATGAATAACTGATAAGCATCATTTTAGCTCCTGACCTCCCATCACCCCTCCATCCTCTTTCTGTAAGTGGGCTTGGCTTCTCAGTAATGAAATGGGCTGCTTTGAGCCTCGGCTCCTCTCTGACAGAAGTGCTACCAGGCCATGAAAGGGCTGAGAGGAATGACTGGAGGAGGCAGCAGGAAAGCTCCCATACTTCCTGGGTGCCTGCAGGAATCAAGACTCACAGGCTGTCCCCAGCTTGTGTTTGTGTTAAGTCCTTGTATCTAACAAGCCCTAATGGGGTAGGTGGGTGGATCTGGGGAGAAAGATGCAAAGTCATCAAAGGGAGCACCCCTGGGTGTGCTTCCGGCTTTTTATAGAAACACAGTCCAGGACCAGCCTGGTGGCTCATGCCTGTAATCCCAGTGCTCTGGGAGGCCAAGGTGGGTGGGAGGATCGCTTGAGGCCAAGAGGTCGACACCACCCTCGGCAACATAGCTGTCTCTGCAAAAAAATTTAAAATTAGCCAGGTGTGGTGGTGAGCACCTGTAATCCCAGCTACTGGGGAGGCTGAGGCAGGAGGATCGCTTGAGCCCAGGAAGTTGAGGCTGCAGTGAGCTATGATTGTGTCACTGCACTCCAGCCTGGGCAACAGAGCAAGACCCTGTCTCTAAAGAAAAAAAAAAAGAATGAAACACAGTCCAAAAAATAATTCGATTCTATAGACTATGGCACAATCAATATTTGTTTTCATGTGTCAGAGGCTTGCGTCAAAGAGGGGTAATAAAACAAGTTAAAAACAGGGAAAATGGCCAGGCACAATGGCTCATGACTGTAATCCCAGCACTGTAGGAGGCTGAGGCAGGCGGATCACCTGAGGTCAGAAGTTCGAGACCAGTCTGGCCAAAATGGTGAAACCCCATCTCTACTAAAAATACAAAAAATTAGCTGGGTGTGGTGGTGGGCGCCTGTAGTCCCAGCTACTTGAGAGGCTGAGGCAGGAAAATCACTTGAACCCAGGAGGTGGAGGTAGCATTGAGCTGAGATCGTGCCACTGCACTCCAGCCTGGGCAACAAGAGTGAAACACCATCTCAAAAAAAAAAAAAAAAAAGGCAGGAAAATGCCAGAAATCTCTAGACTCTGTGGTCTGTCTTGGTGACGTCCCCTCCTGGGGTAGCTGCATGCTTTAAAAAGAGCCAGGGAGGCCAGGCACGGTGGCTCACATCTGTAATCCCAGCACTTTGGGAGGCCGAGGTGGGTGGATCATTTGAGGTCAAGACCAACCTGGCCAATATGGTGAAACCTTGTCTCTATTAAAAATACAAAAATTAGCTTGGCGTCGTGGTACGCACCTGTAGTCTCAGCTACTTGGGAAGCTGAGGCAGGGGAATTGCCTGAACCCAGGAGGTGGAGGTCGCAGTGAGCTGAGATGGAGCCACTGCACTCCAGCCTGGCGACAGAGCAAGACTCCGTCTCAAATAAAATAAAATAAAATAAAAATAAAAAGACTCAGGGAGCAGTCAGTGCTGTCCTGGAGTAACGGAGCTCCACGGTAGTTCTAGAGACACCTTTCCTTCCATCCCTTCATTCACTCCGTGGTGGCTCCTCTCCTCTTTCCACCGCGACTATTCAGGCTGAACTTGCTTTCACATCGGCTTCTCCCTGTTCCCACACTGACATGGTGGCTTTGTTCTATGTTGCCTTGGCTGGGCTCACCTGTACTTCCCAGGATACCCTTCCCTGTGTGTTTCTGGCAAAGGTGGCCACAAGATAAGCACGTGTGGAGATTCTGGAGCGTGGAATTGAAGCAGCAGCCCTTCTGAGGCTCACAGACATCACGGCATATCTGCTGGCTCCTCTTGTTGGTTTGAGGCAGGAGCCAGGATCTGCAAATGCTGCACGTTTCCCTGGACCCTCCAGCTGCTCCAGCTCCCGGGCCAGGTGTGCGTGTTCGTCTCCACAACAAAGGGCCGCAGCTTCCTCAGGATACCCACACCAGTAATACTAGAGGCTACAACAACAGTGGCTTAGTGTGGGCTGCTAGAACAAATTACTGTAGACTGGGTGGCTTAAACAACACAGACTTCTTCTTCTTCTTTTTTTGAGACAGGGTCTCACTCTGTCACTCAGGCTGGAGTGTAGCACTATCATGGCTCACTGCAGCCTCGACTTCCTGGGCTCAAGTGACCCTCCTCAGCTTCCCAAGTAGCTGAGACTACAGGTGGGCACCACCATACTCAGCTAATTTTTATATTTTTTGTAGAGATGGGTTTTGCCACATTGCCCAGGCTGGTCTCGAACTCCTGGGCTCAAGCAATCCGCCTGCCTCCGCCTCCTAAAGTGCTAGCATTACTTGCCAGAAACATCTTTCTCACAGTTCTGGAGGCTTGGGAGTCTAAGATCAGGAAGCTGGCATGGGCAGGCTCTGGTGAGGGCTCTCTTCTACGTTTGCAGACAGCCACCTTCTCATTGAGTCTTCACAGTGGAGAACACAGAGAGAAAAAGCAAGCTCCCTCCTCCTCCTCCTCCTTCTTCCTATCTTCTTTCTTTTCATTCTCCTTCTTCCTTCTTCATTCTCTTTCTCCTTCTTCCTTCTTCCTTCACCTTCTTCTTTTGTTTGTTTACTTATTTTTTTTTTTTGAGATGGAGTCTCGCTCTGTCGCCCAGGCTGGAGTGCAGTGGCACGATCTCGGCTTACTGCAAGCTCCGCCTCCCGGGTTCATGCCATTCTCCTGCCTCAGCCTCCTGCGTAGCTGGTATTATAGGCGCCTGCCACCACGCCTGGCTAATTTTTTTTTTTTTTTGCATTTTTAGTAGAGACAGGGTTTCACCGTGTTAGCCAGGATGGTCTCGATCTCCTGACCTGGTGATCCGCCTGCCTTGGCCTCCCAAAGTGCTGGGATTACAGGCGTGAGCCACCGCGCCCAGCCTCACCTTCTTCTTTCTTCTTTTTTGAGACAGGGTCTTGCTCTGTTGCCAAGACTGGAGTGCAGAGGCATGATCTTGGCTCACTGCAATCTCTTACTCCTGGGCTCAAGCAATCCTCACACCTCAGCCTCCCAAGTAGCTAGGACTACAGGTGTGCACCAGCACGCTTGGCTAATTTTTGTTTTTTTTTGTAGAGACAGGCACTATGTTGCCTAGGCTGGTATCAAACTCCTGGGCTCAAGGAATCCACCTGCCTCGGCTTCCCAAATCACTGGAATAACACGCATAAGCCACTGCACCCAGCCTCATTTTCTTCTTATAAGGGCACTACTCCCATCAAGAGGGCTCCACTCTCACGACCTAATCACTTCCCAAATGTCTTATTGACAAATACTATCCCACTGGGGTTTAGAGTTTCAGCATATGAATTTTGAGGGGACATAAACTTTCAGTCCATAGTAAATATCCACAGGCTTCTGCCAGTCCTCCTGGTCTTCCAGCAAGTTCTTGCACTGCCTGACTTGGCATCTGTTGTATAATAAAGAATTTGACTGGCCTTTACCTCTGGTTTCTAGGAATGAGACTTTAAATCCTTGGAATTTCTCATGTCATAGGAGTGTCTTTGTTCTTCATGAGCCTCTTGGACCACACCTGAGTTAACGCTAAGAGATAAGAAGACTCAGAATGGGGGCTGGTCACCAATAAGACCACTCCATGATGAGAAGAGTTGGAACTTTGAGTCAGCCTGCCCTTTAGGGAAGGAATGGAGATGGAGATTGAGTTCAATCACATGGCAAGTGACTCAATCAATCATGCCTACATAAAGAAATCCAATAAAAACTCTGCACACTGAAGCTAACTGGAGCTTCCTGGTTGGTGAACACATAAATATACCCAGAGGGGCTGTGTACCCCGAATCCATGGGGAGAGGCACGGAAGCCCTGAATTTAGGACCCTCCCAAACCTTGCCCTATGTGTCTCTTCATGTGGCTGGTTCTGATTTGTATCCTTACAATAAAACTGTCAAGTATGGTGCTTTTTTAGGTTCTGTGAGCTGTTCTAATGAATTAGTGAATATAAAGGGGGTTGTGGGAACCTCCCCTAAGCTTTGTAGCCATTTGGTCAGAAGAGCAGGTGGCCTGAGGACCCCACTGTGGCTAGTATTTGAAGTAGGACAGTCTTGTTGGCAACCACGCCCTTAAGATTGTGGAATCTGACACTAACTTCAAATGCCTAGTGTCAGAATCAAATTGCAGTATACTAGTTGGTGTCTGAATAACATTCCTCTTCTCTTTCCAAATGCCTGCCCTGAGGACTTCAGGCTCCAGCATCAGGAGCAAAGACAGCAGCTTTACAGAGACTCCCACAATCATGTAAGGTCAAATCTCTATAACACACACACATATATGTATAAGTGCACAGATATGTATGGTGGCCCAGCCTCTCTGATTGAATGCTGACACATACACATGCCACATCAATTAGAGTCTCTCTGCCTTCTCTACTCAGTGTATTTCTCACTAACTACTCAAGTGCCCTGACCTAGTCATTTATTACACACCTGCCATTTGAGAGTCGCCTGGGCATACAGAGAGGGAATGATGCCATTCAGTTCTACACACGCTGAGTGGTTGAATATTGCAACCATGCTGCAAAGGAAGAACAAACCACTGGCACATCTGGACAGGCTTTGAGGAAATCTAGCATTTCCCTGGCTTTGGAAGCTTAGGGGAGATTTCTATGGGCTGAAGATCAGGTGAGGACTTGGCGGGAACCTTTCCTTTCTGAGAATTTTTCCAATGCTTATGTCCAAACCATACACAACCTGGGGTTGTGTGCAGTTTTCCTCCTTGCTTGTTTGATTTCCCATTTTTTTTTCTTTTTTTGAGGCAGAGTCTCACTCTGTGACCCAGGCTGGAGTGCAGTGATGTGATCTCAGTTCACTGCAACCTCTGTATCCTGGGTTCAAGGGATTCTTGTGTTTCAGACTCCCAAGTAGCTGGGATTACAGGCACGCACCACCATGCCCAGCTAATTTTTGTATTTTTAGTAGAGACAGGGTTTCACCATGTTGGCCAGGCTGGTCTTGAACTCCTGACCTCAGGTGATCCACCCACCTCGACCTCCCAAAGTGCTGGGATTACAGGTGCAAGCCACCATGCTCAGCCTCCATTGCTTTTATGTATCTGTCTCTCCCCACTAAGTTGTCACAGCAGTAATAACAGCTGCCATTGGGAAAGGACCCGCTCTGAGCCCAGCACTTACCACATGTTATCTTTAAAGCTTACAATTCACGTGTTGGCATTATTATTTCCATTTTACAGATGGGAAGACTGAGGCTTATAAAGTCCCCTGTCTTGGGTAGAGGACCATGCAAATGAGTCAGTGGCAGAGCTGGGATTTGAACCCACTTTCTCTCTGGTCTAAAGTCCAGGCTGAGGCCTCCCCTGAGCTCCTTCAGCGTAGGAAGACACCTCTGCCACCCTGCTGTGCAGCAATGCACATGGCAAAAATCGCTGCTCTGTGTATCTGTTGGATTTTCCTCCTCCCCTGTCACCCCTTAACTGGCTCCTTTTCTTGCAGGTGACAAGGAGGCAGCGGGAAGAAAGGCTTTCCTCACTTGCCCCTGCTTTAGGCAGATCACTGGATATTTTTAGCAGCCTAGGAAGCCTCCGAGTAACACGGGCTCAGGTTTTGAACTTGCCTGGTCAGCCCTGCCTCCTGATTCCTCTCGCAAAAGGTTTATGGTGGACTCCCAGCAGCTTTGCTGATGCAGCTAGTAATGTTTATAACCATAATCAAGCACTCCGAGAGCCCCGGCGCTGATTTCTTACCCATCTCTATCCTGTAACAGAGGATTTTTCAATCGAGTAGGTTTGCTTCATTCGTTTTAAAATAGCTCCAGCCCAGCTCTGAGGATCACACGGGGCCTCGCACAGGGATTTGTACTTAGAGTCATGGAAATACATTTATTTTACTTTCCTCTTTCTCTCTCTTTGAGGGATTTTAATACATCACGCAGGAGTATTCCTCACATGGCAGGAAAAAGCCTTGCTTTGCACTGAAGACAAAGAACTGCATGTCGTGTTTACTGATAGAGAAGAGCTCCACTCGGCTTCACCCATGGGCATCTCAGGATTAGATAATTAGGGAGCTCCTTAGTGCTTACCCTGGGGGTGTCAGCTGGAAATCTACTGTCACAATGGTGATCTTCCTGCAATTTAAATGCTGGATGTGGGGTTGGCGGAGGGAAGGCGTGTTAGAGGGGCGTCACCTTGCTAGGTTTAGTGCAGCAGGAAAGAGGCAGCATGTCTTGAATTGACTTGAACCTGATAGACAACATGAGGTCACAACCCACCCCGATTTATCAACAGGACAACTAGCCTGCAGATATCCACTCTAAAGTGCTGGGAGGGACAGGAAAGCCACGCCTAGGTGGACCCTGCCCAGGATGAAAGGGAGAAAACCAGACTGAGCTCAGTGATGACCTAACTTCAGAGGCATCACATTCTCTCATCCTCACTGTCCCACCTTCAGGGAACCTGCAGCCAGGGACCCAGGGCCTTTGAGCCTGCACTGCTGGGCTAAAAATCTAGAAAACCTATTTGTTTCTTTTTTTTAATTCGTATTTTTTAGTTAGAGACAGCGTCTCTCTCTGTTGCCCAGGCGGGAGGGCAGTGGCACAGTCACAGCTCACTGCAGACTTCAACTCCTGGGCTCAAGCAGTCCTCCCACCTTGGCCTCCAAAAGTGCTGGAATTACAAGCATATTTGTTTTTTCCTCTTTTCCTTCCCTTCCCTTTCCTCCTTTCCTTTGTTCCTCCCTTTACTCCCTCCCTTCTTCCTTCCCTCCCTTCCATGGAGGTACTCAGCTTTATTGACCAATCCCTGTTGGGTATTTAGCTTGGTTCCAGTGTTTGGCTTCTACAATTTCTGCTTTAATGAAGAAGCTTGTATGTAGTTATTTTGCATCTGTCCCAGTGTCTCTGTCGGATGAAGTTCTAGGAGTGGAATTGCTTGGAGAAAGAGGGTATCTGTTTCCTGTGGCTGCTGTTAACCAAGGACCACAAACAAAGTGGCCCAAGACAACGCATATTATTCTCTCACAGTCCTGGAGGTCAGAAGTCTAAAAAAAATTTCACTGGGCTAAAATCAAGGTGTGGACAGGGCTGGTTCCTCCCACGGGCTCTAGGGAAGAATCTGTTTCCTCGTCTTTTTCAGCTTCCTTGGCTTGTGGGCCCTGCCTTCATCTTCAAAGGACTTCCCTGTACCTCTGCTCGGTCATTACATCACCTTTCCTCTCTGACCTCCCTCCTCCCTCTTACAAGGACCCCTGTGATGACATCAGACCCACTGGGCCAACCTAGAATGACCCTTCCATGTCAAGATTCTTGCTTTAATCACATTTGCCAGGTCCTTTTTGTCACTTAGGTAACACTCACACATTCCAGGGATTAGAATGTGGACACCATGATTCAGCCTGCCTCAAAGAGTATGCACTTTTATACTTTTGAGAAACTGTAAATTTCACTTCATAGAGTTTGTAACAATTTACCTCCCCGCCATCAATATCTAGGCACCTTCATTTCCCATACTTTACCAATACATCTCTATCAAACCAATTCTTTGCAAATTTAATGATTAAAAAAATCATACTCAGTTTTTTCTTTTCTTTTCTTTTCTTTTCTTTCTTTCTCTTTCTTTTTTTTTGTCTCTATCACCCAGGCTCGAGTACAGTGGCATGATCTCAGCTCACTGCAACCTCCACTTCTAGGTTCAAGTGATTCTCCTGCCTCAGCCTCCCAAGTAGCTGGGATTACAGGCATGCATCACCACATCTGCCTAATTTTTGTATTTTTAGTAGAGATGGAGTTTCACTATGTTGGCCAGGCTGGTCTGGAACTCTTGACCGCAAGCGATCCATCTGCCTCAGACTCTCAGAGTGCTGGGATTACAGGCACGAGCCACCATGCCCTGCCTCAGTGTGATTTTAATGAGCATTTCTCTTATGAGTGAGACTGAGGATGTGTTTACATATTTAAGAGCCATTTGTATTTTATTTTGGGTACACTATCTTTTCACACCGTTTTTCTTTGGGCTGTTGGGCTTTTCCTTCAATTTGTCATTCCTTAGAGGAAAATTTTAGCCCTTTGAGTTGAATTGCTAAGGGTGTTATTACTAACCCCTTTTTATAGATGAAGAAATGGAGGCTCAGAGACCTTAAAGAAGCTGCTCAAGGCTACAGGCTGATGCCTGGCAGAGTTGGGATTGAACCATCCTTGATTTTGAATGTCATCCCTGCTATTGTCTCATAGGCTGGCGGATAAGTATGGATCATTTCTGTCAAACCACACAGTAGGGATAACAATGAACCTCTTAGATTGGACCATACTTTTGCAATTTTCCAGTGGCTTTCATTTTTATTATCTTATTTTTACTCTCCTAGGTCTTATTAGCCCATTTTATACATGGGAAACTGAGGCTCAGAGAGATGTAGGGGCCTGGTCACAGTCACATGACTGATAAATGTGAAAACCTAAGGTCAGAATCTGCCACTAGCCCAGCGCTTTTTTCCATATGCTGTCATAGGGAATGTTGAGGTATTTCACGTACCACTTAAAAATTGTTAACAAGGCCAGGCACAGTGGCTCACACCTGTAATCCCAGCATTTTGGGAGGCCAAGGTGGGTGGATTAATTGAGGTCAGGAGTTCAAGACCAGCCTGGCCAACGTGGTGAAACCCCGTCTCTACTAAAAATACAAAAAAAATTAGTCAGGCGTGGTGGCACACAACTGTAATCCCAGCTACTCAGGAGGCTGAGGCAGGAGAACTGCTGGAACCCAGGAGGAGGAGGGTGCAGTGAGCCGAGATCATACCACTGCACTCCAGTCTGGGCAACACGGCAAGACTATATCTGAAAAAAAAAAAAAAAAAAAAATAGCTGGGTGTGATGGGGGCGCCTGTAATCCCAGCTACTTGGGAGGTTGAGGCAGGAGAATCACTTGAACCCAGGAGACGGAGGTTGCAGTGAGCAGAGATCATGCCACTGCACTCTAGCCTGGGCGACAAAGCAAGACTCATCTCAAAAAATAAAATTAGCTGGATGTGATGGTGGGCACCTGTAATTCCAGCTACTTGGGAGGCTGAGGCAGGAGAATTGCTTGAACCCGGGAGACAGAGGTTGCAGTGAGCCGAGATCATGCCACTGTCCTCCAGCCGGGGCAACAGAGCAAGACCCTGTCTCAAAAAAAATTTTTTTTACCCTATCCATGTACACCAATACAATGATTTATTCACTATAATTTTGTAATTAACTCATGTTCTAACAACTTAGCCTCATTCTAATCACTAACAGTGTTAAAATCACAAGTTTGATGTCCTCCTTCTAATGTTCCCTAATTCCATATATCTAAGAAATTCCACGTATTGCCTAAAACCCTCTTCTTGTTTCCCATCAGTGGTACAAGTACTGCACATTTTGTAAGCACTTCATTAAGTTTGTTAGGCCTGATGGAAAATGACAGGCCCTCATAATATGCGTCCTTTATCAAGCACCGATTAAATGCCAGGAGTTTCACTGAATCCTTACAGCAACCCTAAAGGGATGGGTATAGGTCTTCCCAGTTCGTAGAGCAGAAAACAGGGGTTCAGAGAGGTTAGGTGGCTTACCCGAGGTCACACAGCCAGGAACTGGCAGGGTTGGGACTCGCGCTCCAGTCCTGCATCGCCCCAGGTCCCCCCAGCCTGGCACTAAATTTGCTGATTGCAGAGCTAATCGCCAGTTGGTGATTGCCAGCCAGGACTATAACCATCCATGTAAGTAAAGGCATTTAGCTGTTTCACTGCATGCAGAGTTAGGAATTCTCAGGCAGCCCACTGAATGAGGAAAGGGCCTTTCTGTTTCACCTTTCATTGTTTTATCTGCACAACACTTCTGTGAGGTGGGCAAATATAATTAACCCATTTACAAACGAGGAAAGTGGAGAGGTTAGAATGATTCCCTAAAGTCATTCAGTAAGTGAGCGGCACAGCCAAGAATAATAAATAATATTATTTCAGGAGACGCAAACTCAGTGAACCTAAAGGCTTCCTGGTGCTCAGACCATCAGAAGGTGCTTCTGGGCCCTGACCCTTCAAAATCAACACTTCCCCACCACGGCAGAGGTCTAGGTACAACATTTGAAGTCTGGAGTTATTCAAACTGTCCATGTGAGTTCAGACCACCCCCAGGATTTTCTCCCCATTATTATTCTTTTCAGATCATAGCTTGATTAATTTTTCCATCAAGAGAATGGCACTACATATTTTGTAGAGGCAAAAGTAATACAGAATTTGCCTAATGGAATGCTTCCAAGGTTACCGTGAGGATGAATGGACTAGCATTCAAAAAGCACTTCTGAATCCTGGACAGGCTGAAGTGGAGGGCAAGTCTATTGTTATTCATCCTAACAATAGTAATTGATTGCTGGGGAGGGGGGCTTCCCATGATAACCTTTTAATTTTCCTATGAAAAACTGATGGAACAAAAGGTTGCTAGTTCCCGTTGGTGAAAGACAATTCACACCCGCTGGTCTTCAGCCATTCCCTTCAGCCCTTCTCAGCTACATGTTTTCAGATCCTAGTGACCAATATGACTTCCACAACCAGAGTGGAACAACCAGAGTTTCTTTGAACTTCTTTACAGTCTGCAAGCTGCCAGAAGGATCCTATACCTCTGAGACACAGCTGGTTTGATTTTCTTTGAGGGCTCTTCAATATTTTAAAACTGGGAGGGGCCAGGCGTGGTGGCTCATGCCTGTAATTCTGACATTTTGGGAGACTGAGGCGGGAGGATCATTTGAAACCAGGAGTTTGAGACCAGCCTGGGCAACATAGGGAGACCCTGTCTCTATAAAAAATAAAAAATGTAGCCCGGTGTGGTGGTACATACCTATAGTCTCAGTTACTCGGGAGGCTGAGACAGGAGGAGCCCTTGAGCCCAGGAGTTGGAGGCTGCAGTGAGCTATGATAGCGCCACTGCTCTCCAGCCTGGACAACAACAGAGTGAGACCTTGTCTCTAAAACATAAATAAATAAATAAATAAATTAATTAATTAATTAAATTAAAACTTAGAGTGCTGGTTTCTGGAGATGTCCATTTTACAGAGAGGGAAACGGACGGGAGACTTAGGGGCACCTCTTATCCTGGGTCTCCTCACCTTGTTTTCACTGTGTCCCATCTGCCAAAGAAAATATTTGTGTGTCAATCCACCCATGACCTGGTCACTCACTCCCAGGGTGGAAACCTGCCAACCCTGACGATGGTGGCCCCCGAGAGCCACCCTCCCCCGGAGCCTCCGTCTTGGACATGCTTGCTGTTAAAGAGGGTTGGTGACAATCATCTCTTAATTGCAATACCTCCTGTTGGCCTGAATAATAGTTGAAATCTTGTGGGCGCGTTGGCTGGGCATTAGGGGGTGTTTCTGTTGTGCCTCGAGCAAAGGGAGGCTTTATTCACACCAGCATCTGTTCCAGAGAGGTCTGAAAAGCTCAATTAGTCAGCAGAGCATGTTGGAAAAATAAAACCCCGAACTGATGTGTTTGAGGTCATCCCTTGGCTCATTTGAATGTGGGGAGCCAGAACTCCTGACCCTTTACTTCCATTGGCCTCAACTGGTACTTGAAACTCTCTAATCTGAACTCTAATTCTATAAATACCTCCAGTTTTTAAAAATGTATATATATATATATATATATATATTTAGCAAAAAGCTTGAAACCAAGAAACTAGTTAGCCTCTTCTATCTTTGAATTGATTTAATTTCAATTAATAAAGTTGGATTAAGATTGGGGAGCCTAATTCGGATTTGCAGGGGAGAGGGGGCTTACTCTGTGCCCAGCAGAGCCAGGCAGAGTTCTGGCCCCTTTTCTATTTCCTCTGACCAGCAGCTGATTCCTTTGATATCTCATCTTGCATCTTGTCCAAAATAAATGATGGGCGCGATGCAGGTTCCAGTAGCATGGAGAGACCGTCTGCTGGTACCATCTGATTCCTCAGCAGGCAGAGCCACACAGTCCTGGGAGGCAGTGGCCACTGGTGCGGATTTATAGGCTGCAGGTGGGGGATGCTACCTTGCCCTTCACACAGGAAAACAGCCTAGGGAGAGGGCATGCTTTGTACCGCCTCGGGTTCCCGTCCCCAGAACTCATGCCGGGAATTCACCTGGACTGCAGATCCTACAGGAAGCTGCCTGTGTGATGGATTACCACCAACTTGCTGTGTGACCTTGGGCAAGGCACTTTCCCTCTCTGGGCCTAATTTGTCTTACATGTAAACAGAAAGGACATCATCATCATCATCACCATCATCATCATAGTTAATGAGTGCATCCTAGATGATCTCTTAGTATGCTTGCCAAAGAACCTCTGTGGCTGATATTATCATCCTCATTTTACAAACAAGGAGTTGTGACTCAGAGAGGTTAAGTCACTTGCCCGCTTTACAGAGCTAGTAAGTGACATAGCTTCAATTCGGGCTCAGTCCCCCTGACTTCAGATCCTAAGCTTTTAGCCTCCCACATTATAACATCAGGCACTTCTGCACATTCTGTCTGTGAATCCTCAAAGCAACCATATAAGGTCAATGCCATTGTTACCCGCATTTTACAGATGATCAATGGTCTCATAACATTTTTTCCACCTGTGAAGAAAGCTATTATTATTTTTCTTTCTTTCTTTCTCTTTTTTCTTTTGTTTATTTAATTATTTATTTATTTGAGATGAAGTCTTGCTCTGTTGCCCAGGCTGGAGTGCAGTGGCATGATCTCGGCTCACTGCAACCTCTGCCTCCCGAGTTCAAGCAATTCTCCTGCCTCAGCCTCCCAAGTAGCTGGGATAACAGGCACCCACCACCATGCCTGGATAACTTTTATATTTTTAGTAGAGACGGGGTTTCACCATGTTGCCCAGGCTGGTCTTGAACTCCTGACCTCAGGTGGTCCACCCACCTTGGCCTCCCAAAGTGCTGGGATTACAGACATGAGCCACTGTGCCTGGCAAAAGCTATTATTTTTAAGTTCAGGAGAACAGTGACAGGCGTAAGATGAGGAAGGTCAGTGCTCAGCCTTCCTGTTGTCTGAGGGAAAAGGATGGAGCACACGGGATGAAGAGTAGAAGAAAAGCGAAGACGTGACCCTGCAGAGTGCAAACTCCTTGGCCAGGCCCGCAGAGCCCTTTCCAAGCTGCCTCTTGTGCCTCTCCCATATCAGAACGGCCTTTAATTGCTGCAAGCCTAGGCGGTAGGCACTGTTCCCATGAGCGTTTCACAAAGGCAGAGCAGGAGCAGCTAACGAGGTACTCCAGTTTGCAGAGCTCTTATGTGGAGCTGCAGGACTTGAACTTGAGCCTGTCTGAGTCCAAAGCCCTAGCTTTCTATCCCTTTGCCATCTATCCCACCTCCTGGCACTGACCCTGACCTTCTGCTCTGGGCCACTTGGGACCTCCCTGTTCTACAAACACCCGTGCCTTCTGCTGTCCTTGTTTTTCTGTCCAGCACACCCCTTGTCTATTGGTCACATTCCTTTACTGTCATTTGATCAGGGCCAGTTCAGCAATCACTTCTAAAACAGTTTTTCCTATGTATGCCTGTAGTCCTAGCTACTCGGGAGGCTGAGGCGGGAGGATCGCCTGAGCTGAGAAGTTTGAGGCTGCAGTGAGCCGTGATCACAATACTGCACTCCAGTCTAGGCAACAAAGAGAGATCGTATCTCTCTAAAAAAAAAAAGAAAAAAGAAAAAAAAAAGTTTTTCCTAATGCCTCAGGCAGAAGTCACCTCTCCATCTGTGTCTCCAAGCTACAGAAACGACTGTTGGATGACAGTGGTGGCGATCATCATCACCGTTACTATTATAAAATTGTGTGCAGGACGTAGTGCTCAGCGTTAACACAGACCCCATTCGACCCAGTCCCATCAACCCTGTGAAGTGGGCGCTCTGACATCTCCAGCTCACTGATAAGGACACAGTTTCAGAGATGCTAAGTTCCTTTCCAAGGGCCCCTTGGCTAGAAAATGCAGGGCCTGTGCTGCCATCAGCAGGAGGAGGTATGAGGACAGAGGCAAGAGGTTGGAGTGATGCAAGGGAGAAACCAGGAGCCAAAGAATGCTGGCGGCCTCTAGAAGCCGGAAAAGGAAAAGGAGTCCAGGTGTGGTGGCTCAGGCCTGTAATCCCAGCACTTTGGGAGGCTGAGGTAGGCTGATCTCTTGAGGTCAGGGATTCGAGACCAGCCTAGCCAATATGGTGAAACCCTGCCTCAACTAAAAAAAAAAAAAAAGTACAAAAATTATCCAAGCATGGTGGCACATGCTTGTAGTCCCAGCTACTCGGGAGGCTGAGGCACAAGAATTGCTTGAACCCGGGAGGCAGAGGTTGCAGTGACAGAAGGAGTCTCTGTCTCAAAAAAAAAAGAAAAAAAAGGGGGGGAAAGAAAAGGGGTCATCACTGTGTCACCTTCCCCCAGGCCTGGTGTACAGAAAGACTCAGCCTGTGCTTGTTCAGTGGGCACTCATAGGCTGGGCGTTATCGATGTGCATACAGGACTATGAAAAGATTTCATGACTGGGGGAGGTGGCTCACACCTGTAATCTCAGCATTTTGAGGGGCCGAGGTGGGCAGATCACTTGAGGCCAGGAGTTCGAGACCAGCCTGGTCAACATGGTGAAGCCCCATCTCTACTAAAAACAGAGTGGGTGTGGTGACGCGCCTGTAATCTCAGCTACTTGGGAGGCTGAGGCAGGAGAATCACTTGAACCCAGGAGGCAGAGGCTGCAGTAAGCAGAGATCGCGCCACTGCACTCCAGCCTGGGCAAAAGAGCAAGGCTCTGTCTCAAAAATATATATGTATATATTTCCGTTGTCGGGCATGGTGGCTCATGCCTGTAATCCCAGCACTTCGGGAGGCTGAGGTGGGAGGATGGCTTGAGCCCAGGAATTCGAGGTGGCAGTGAATTATGATCACACCACTGTACCCCACCCTGGTCAACAGAGCAAGAGCCCATCTAAAAAAAAAAAAAAAAGGATATCAAGCTCCCGTCCTGGAATGTGAGCTTGTAACCCAGAATCTCCCAGCTCTCAGCCTGGCTTTTCTGACCATCCCTCCAGGTCAGCAGGACTGTCACCCAAGCTCATGCTATATACATCCTATTCCAATGAATGTGGTTCTTTTCTGTCTGGATTATTGTTTCCAATTATTTGTCCATCTCTATGGAAACATTTCTTAAAAATACTGTACATGAACTTGAATTTTTGACCGGCAAGGTCTCTGGAACAGGTCTGTGAGCATGGAGCCGGTTTACACCGAGGGAGGAGGCACCACCCTCCCATCCACCCCTCGGTGACAGACTAAGCAGTGGAAACACATAGCCTCTGGGTGGGGCAGGAAGCCTGAGCTCTGGCCCCAGGCCCACCCTTAACACTCTCTGTGACCTTGGACGAGTCATTTCACACCACCTCCGTGTACTTCCACTTTACTTCCTTACTTGATTTTTGTTTTTCTATAGAGACCGGATCTTGCTATGTTGTCCAGGCTGGTCTCGAATTCCTATACTCACCTAGTCCTCCTGCCTCGACCTCCCAAAGTGCTGGGATTACAGGCATGAGGCACCATGCCCAGCCTACTTCCTTACTTGTAAAGTGAAAGGTTGATCCAAATAATCTCGAATGTTCTTTTCTGCTCAAAATTTGATCTTCTCTACACTCTCCTAGTCAGGAATGTTGTTGCTCTGCCTCCTGAGTGGCCGTGCTGTGCAGCATCTTTTTGCACCCTCTAAGGCTTGAAGAGCTATGAGCAGTTTTTTGAACATAGAATAATAATAACAATAATAATACCAATGAACACTTTCCATCTGATACTCCTCTGCCAAGCACTTTGCCTGTCTTATTTCATTTAATCCTCACTGCCCCAGGGGTAAGCCTTCCCCCTCTACATTCCAGAAAGTCTTTTTCACAGAAGACCTTTGCTTAGAAGGTCTGCCTTTGTTTAACGGAAGACAAACCTTAGTTCTCTTCTTTTTATTTTTTAAATTTTGAGACGAAGTCTCGCTCTGTTGTGCCAGCTGGAGTGTAGTGGCGCCATCTCGGCTCACTGCCACCTCCACCTCTGGGATTCAAGTGATTCTCCTGCCCCAGCCTCCCGAGTAGCTGGGATTACACGTGTGCGCCACCATGCCCAGCTAATTTTTGTATTTTCAGTAGAGACGGGGTTTCTCCACGTTGGCCAGGCTGGTCTTGAACTCCTGAGCTCAAGTGATCCGCCTACCTTGGCCTCCCAAAGTGCTGGGATTACAGGCAGGAGCCACCACGTCCGGCCTTAGGTCTCTTCTTGAGCTGACCCGCTTGGTAGTCTGAGTAGTTTCTGGAGGAGTATCTGGAATGTTCTCCTAGCTTCTTAGAATAGAATCATCCTGGCCGGGTACAGTGACTCACACCTATAATCCCAGCACTTTGGGAGGCCAAGGTAGGTGGATCACCTGAGGTCAGGAGTTCAAGACCAGCCTGACCAACATGGTAAAACCCCATCTCTACTAAAAATACAAAACATTTGCCGGGCACGGTGGTGGGTGCCTGTAATCCCAGCTACCCGGGAGGCTGAGGCAGGAGAATCGCCTGAACCCAGGAGGCAGAGGTTGCAGTGAGCCGAGATAGTGACATTGCACTCCAGCCTGGGCAACAAGAGCGAAACTCAGTCTCAAAAGAAAAAAAAAAGGACAGAATCATCCTTTCAGCCTTTTATGGGAGCTCGCTGTGTACATGCTAATCAATTAGAGCAGTGGTTCTCAACAGGGGGCAGTGTTGCCCCTGTAGGAGGCATTTGGCAATGTCTAGAGGCATTTTTGGTTGTCACATTGGGTGGGGGGTGCTGCTGTCATCTGGCAAGGGCCAGAGACAATGCACAGGACAGCCTGTCCCCCGCAAACAAAGAATCATCATGCTCTAAATGTCATTAGTGCCCAGGTAGAAACTCCTGGGCTGGGGAAGACAGGGGTGTCTGCCTATTTCCCTTTTAGTGTCTTTATTTCAGAATGAGACCAACAGCCAAGCCAATGTCTACAAATAAACAGCCTATGATGATTTCTCCTTCCTGGTTGCAATTGTCCAGACAAAGGAAAGAAAGTAGCCTGTAGCTGGTTCTGAGCCTCCCTGCCTGTTCTGAAGCCTCAGAGGCAGCATTCGCATCTCCAGACAGAGATTTTAGTGGTTGCTGCAGAAGAATCCTCAAAGGCGTTTTCAGCTCCAGTCCCTGGCCACAATTTAAGGATAGAGTCTGCCAACCATTTGTGAGGCTAAGTGGGAGGAGGAGGAAAAGAAAAAAAAGGAGGAAGCCATTTCTTAGCACCCATGGGGCCTAAATAAGAAGCAGTCTTTAAGCGGTTTGACTTTCTTTAAAAATCACTTTTGTAGTGACATCAACTTGCCCTCTGTTCTTGGCAATGGAAGAGCTTCTTGAGATGAGAAAGCCTGGGTTACTTCGGCTGCCTGCTCACTTCCATTAAGTTCTCTGTATGTTGCAGCCTGACTTCTGCCCAGTCCTGTGAGTTGGGGTCCCAAAAGCCAACAGAAATGTCTCAATCACCAAAGGTACAGGCATCCTTTTGTTTTTAAATTTCAATCACTGTAGGGGAATGAGTAGTTTTTGGTAATGTGAATGAATTGTATAGCGGTGAAATCTGGGCTTTCAGTGTACCCGTTACCTGAAAAGTGTACATTGTACCCAATAGGTAATTTTTCATTCCTCATCCCCGCCCCGCTTCTGAGTCTCCAGTGTCTATGATACCACTCTATGCCTCTGCGTACCCTTAGCTTAGCTCCCAACTAGAAGTGAGAACATGTGGTATTTGGTTTTTCATTCCTGAGTTGCTTCACATGGGATAATCGCTTTCAGTTCTATTCAAGTTGCTGCAAAATACATTATTTTGTTCTTTTTTATGGCTGAATAGTATTTCATTTTATATATATATATCATGTGGCATATATATATATCACATGGTATATACATAATATGCATATAATATATACATGATATATATACATATATATACACCATGTGACATATATACACACACATGTATATACACACTGTGTGTGTGTGCATGTATATATATGTCACGTTTTCTTTATCCATCCATTCATTGGTTAGTGAGCACTTAGGTTGATTCCATGTCTCCGCAATTGTGAATTGTGCTGTGGTAAACATTTCAAGTGTAAGTGTCTTTTTTTTTTTTTTTTTTTTTTTAGACAGAGTCTTGCTCTGTTGCCAGGCTAGAGTGCAGTGGCACCATCTCGGTTCACTGCAACCTCTGCCTCCCTGGTTCAAGCAATTCTCCTGCCTCAGCCTCCTAAGTAGCTGGGACTACAGGCATGTGCCACCATGCCGGCTAATTTTTGTATTTTTAGTAGAGACAGGTTTTCACCATGTTGGCCAGGATGGTCCCAATCTCTTGACCTTGTGATCCGCCCGCCTTGGCCTCCCAAAGTGCTGGATTACAGGTGTGAGCCACCGAGGCAAGCCTGCAAGATGTCTTTTTTATCATGGGGCATCTTAATCCTCAGGCTCCTAACTCTTTTGCTGTATTTGGTTTCACTGGCCCCTCCCTCTTTTGTGTCACTTTTTGCCCCTTGGTGGATCTCACTGTGCTTCCCAGTCTTCCTCCTACCTGCTGATGACTCCTTGTGGGTTTCTTTTGTTGGTTGCTCTTTGTGGGACCCAGAGTGCCAGCCTGCCCTCAAAGCTCTGCCTTAGCTCTCATCTCCTCTTAAAATCGACCTTCAAGTCTGCCTTCATATGGACTTCGTGGGCCTGCCACTGTGCAGTCACACAGGGCCCATGTGCTTGGTGTAATGTTCTGCTGTCAGCCGTCTTGAAATTCTTTTTATTTATTTATTTATTTTGAGACAGAGTCTCGCTCTGTTGCCCAGGCAGGCATACAGTGGCACGATCTCAGCTCACTGCAACCTCTGCCTCCCGGGTCCAAGCAATTCTCCTGCTTTAGCCTCCCGAGTAGCTGGGATTACAGGTACATGCCACCATGGCCGGCTAATTATTGTATTTTTAGTAGAGAGGGGGTTTCACCATGTTGGCCAGGCTGGTTTCAAACTCCTGACCTCAGGTGATCCACCCGTCTCGGCCTCTCAAAGTGCTGGGATTACAGGCGTCAGCCGCTGTGCCTGGCTTGAAATTTTCATACATTTTGAACAAAAGACCCTGCATTTTCATTTTGCAGTGAGCCCTACAAATTAGGTGGTTGGTCCTGCCTGTAGGTACCTCCAACATTAGTACTTCCAACAAAAGTACTTGGGCAAGTGACTTAGTTTCCCTGTGTCTCAGTTTTCTTGGGTTCTTAGATGAATTCAATGAAATCACACTTAGAAAGTACTAAGCGTGGTGTACGAGCACCAGGGACTTGACAAGTGCTGGTTAGGATCATGGTTTCTCACGTCTCTCTTGCCTGGAGCTGGTTTTCTCTTGCTCACCTCATTTAAAGGGATGACCAGTTTCCTAGTCATTCCAACTTGTAGTCTTTTAATTATTGGTTCCTCCCATTTAACTCTGCCCAGTCAATCAGTCATCAGCTCCTCTTTATTCTGCATTTCAGATGTTTATTAAACTTTTTCTCTTTTTGGCGGGGCATGGTGGCTCACGCCTGTACTCCCAGCACTTTGGGAGGCTGAGGCGGGGGTATCACGAGGTCAGGAGATTGAGACCATCCTGGCTAACACAGTGAAACACCGTCTCTACTAAAAATACAAAAAATTAGCCGGGCATGATGGTGGGCGCCTGTAGTCCCAGCTACTCGGGAGGCTGAGGCAGGAGAATGGCGTGAACCCAGGAGGCGGAGCTTGCAGTGAACCCAGATCGTGCCACTGCACTCCAGCCTGGGCAACAGAGCAAGACTCCATCTCAAAAAAAAAAAAGAAACTTTTTCTCTTCTTACCTCTCTGCAGCCACTGTGGAGACTTAGCTTACATGGACTGTTACAATGGCTTCCTAATAAATCTCTATGTCTACGGCCTTTTCTTTTCTTCTTCTTCTTTTTCTTTTATTTTTCCAAAATAGAGAAACTTGATCCAGCAGCTGAGATGAAGTCAAACTGGTCCAACAGGAATTTACGCAAATGCCCATTTGTCCTTGAGGATGGTTCTTTGAAAGAGGGTAAGAAAATAAAACCAACATCAGTGCCTACTTGTGTGCCAAGCTCTGGACACACATGTTTTTATTTCATCTTTACAAGGACCCTATTAAGTAGCTCTTGTTATCTGCCATTTTGCAGAGAGGAAATCAAGGCTCAGAGAGACGATCTGACTTGGACAATTTTCGAGTGACACAGCTGGATTCACTCTCAGATCTCTCTGACTTGAAAGTATCTGTTGTCCAGAAAAAAAGACATAAGTGGAAAAATCAATGAGACCTGAAAATAGGAGCTTAGTTTTAGTTAATAGTAATGAACCCATGTTGGATGGTTTTGATCATTGCAGGATGGTTATGTGAGCTGTGAAGAGTAGAGAAACTTGGGTGATGGTTATACGGGAACCCTGCACTATTTTACACCTTTTTTTGTAACTCTAAAATTATTTCAAAATAAAAAGTTACAGCCAGGCATGGTGGCTTATGCTTGTAATCCCAGCACTTTGGGAGGCGGAGGTGGGCGGACCACCTGAGGTTGGGAGAGCCAGACCAGCCTGGCCAACATGGCAAAACCCCATCCCTACTAAAAATACAAAAACTAGCCAGGTGTGGTGGTGCTTGCCTGTAATCCCAGCTACTCGGGGGAGGGCTGAGGCAGGAGAATCGCTTGAACTCAGGAGGCAGAGGTTGCACTGAGCCGAGATCGCACCACTGCACTCCAGCCTGGGTGACAGAGTGAGATTCCATCTAAAAAAAAAAAGTTACGTAAACTGCACTTTGGGAGATAAGGATGTGTCAGTGTAGGTTCATCAACTGTAACAAATGTACCACTCTGGGGCAGGATGTTGATGGTGGTGGAGGCAGCACATGTTTCGGGAAGGAAGTGTATGGGGAATCTCTGTACCTGCTGCTCAATTTTGCAGTGAAACTCTCAAAATAAAAGTCAAAAACTGTTGTAAAAAATAAAGTCCATTTAAAAAAAGGAAAGAAACTACCTGCTGTCTCCTCTGTGTGTTCTCTGTACGTCTCACTGAACATCATGATCTTCTGCAGAACAATCCTCCACCCCTTACCCTCGCCCCCATACACACACTCATGCCCATGCACACACAATGTGCTCACACAAACTCCACAGTGTCTTTGCACAGGGAATATCGCGCCCATCAGCGAATCCAGCTGCAAGCTGTACCCTCCTCCGAAGCATCAGTAGGAGTCGTGAAAAGCAGATAATAAAAGGGTGCATGTGAATTACACTAGTAGCTGTGTTCATCTACTCACCCCTCCTTTCTGGCTACAAAAATGCAACGGTATTACTTGCAACTTATACGTTGCAAAATGCCTTTCCTGCCTCTCCCCCTCCCCTGTATTGCCTCCTCCCCTTCCTCTTCGGGTTGGCGTGTAACCTCAATGATCCAGCCAAATGAGTTATTTGAGATGGAAACGTTAATTTATTTGAGCAGATGGGCGTCAACGCTGCTCGGTAAAAAGGTGGCGGTATGCCGTATTGGCCCAGAGTGGTGCAGATGAAGTCCTGGCTGCCTCGCTGAATCACCGAGTGTGAACAGAATCATATGTTAACGGCACTAAGGGAAATGCCTATTTAAGCCGAGCCCTTCCAGAAAACAAATCATTAGCCCCCGATTTTTGTTTTAAATCTGGATTTTCACATCTCAGGTTTGCTGAGGGTCTGAAAAATCTGAAACTCATTATTTCTCAAAGTGTGGTCCGATGACCGCCCTCCTCGGAGTCACCCAAGGGCTTATTAAAAACACAGATTTGGGGGACCCAACCCCCCTGACCTACAAACTCCCACTCTCAAGGGTGCAGGCTTGGGGGACTCTGCAATGTTAACAAGCTCCCTGCGGAACTGTCACTAACATTGGGCCCCCATCGCTGAAACGGTGCTGTCAAACTGCCCAGGAAAATCCTTCCAAAACAAAATACAACAAAGCAAAAAAAAAAAACAACAACAAAAAAAAACCTTGGAATTTGTCGTGGGATTTTTGTTTATTTGGTTGGTTGTATCTTTCTTTCTACTTCTGTCTACTTTTTCAGATTTTGTGCGAAAGAATGACCCCTCTGGCGATTAGAAATAAGTAAACAAAAAGGATAAAAAAGATAGCACAAAGAGATTATTTGTGCATGAGAAGTAAAAGACAGTTTGGAAATTTCAGGAATTTCCAAGAAAAGGAGGCTTCCTTGTCTCTCTGTCCTTGGCAACTGAACTTGGACTAGCTTCTCCACACTCCCCACCCCTACCTCCCCCTCCCGGACAGCCGCCTTCTCTAAGTGTTACAACCAATTTTCTCTTGAATACATGTAGTGAGGAAGCCTCAATGACTTCCCAAGGGACCTTACTTATAGAGAAGAGGCACCACGGGAAGATTTATGGAACGTCTGTAAAATATGTGTGTAGAAACTCGCGACATTTTGATCGCTACCAAGGAAAAAAAAAAAAACTGGACAGTTTCTTACTAGTCAGTTTCATGAGCATTTTTTATGGGTTTTTTAAATTAATTAATCTTTTCTTCCTTTGTTAGGAATTCTTGGCACAGACACAAGCCCCGGAGAAGGGTAACATTGCCCACGGGCTGTACGTCCAAACTGTCAGGCTTTCAATCCCAAATCTCTGGAGGCAAAAGGCCAGATTTCATGTGCTTCCCATGAAGTGGGGAGAGTCTTGTCAATGTTGGAGAGAAGGGAGTATTATTAGTGGGATTGCCACCGCTGTCTCTAACAGCCTCAGTGCCACTGGCAAGCGCCATATGGTCCCAGACAGCCTCTTCCCTGGGCTGTCTCCACACCCAGAGCCATTTGCAGGATGGGAAAGAGCCCTCAACGTTCGCCACACGGCACCAGGCCCCATTTACCTCCAGCGCCCTGGTCCTATGTGGAAGCATCCATCAGGCATCTGGTTTTTCTCAGCCTCACAGGTTCTAGTCTTCCCCCACCCCCCAACCCCTGCCCCGGGCAGTTTGCTGCTGAAGACAATGAACCAAGTGGAATTTCCCGGCCTAAGAGGGGAACTGGAGCTCGGCATCCTGCTTTTGTTACCAGTTCATCTTGAGCTCCTTCTTGGCCTCAGTTTCTTCATCTGTAAAATAAAAATCCAGAAAAATCTGCTCTAGAGGAATGTGGTGAAGATGAGAGATAATTTGGAAACTGGTAGCTCTCAACCGGGAGCAACTTTGCCCCCTCTCTACTCCTACACCCAAGGGGATATTTGGTGATGTCTGGAGACAGTGCTTGTTGTTACAGCTTAGGGGGAGGGGGTGCTACTGGCATTTTGTGGATAGAGGCCAAGGATGCTGCTAAACATCCTACAGGGCAGCCTCCCAACACCAAGAATCATCCAGCCCAAATACCAATGATGATGGCCAGGAGCAGTGGCTCATGCCTGTAATCCCAGCACTTTGGGAGGCCAAGGTGGGCAGATCACTTGAGGTCAGGAGTTCAGGACCAGCCTGGCCAACATGGCAAAACCCTGTCTCTACAAAAATACAAAAATTAGCTGGTTGTAGTGATGGACACCTGCAATCCCAGCTACTCTGGAGGCTGAGACAGGAGAATTGCTTGAACCCGGGAGGTGGAGGTTGCAGTGAGCCGAGATTGTGCCACTGCACTCCAGTCTGGGCAACAGAACGAGACTCCATCTCAAAAAAGAAAAGAAAAAAAATCAGTGATGCTGAAGTTGAGAAATCCTGATATAAAGTGCCTGGCAAACAGTCGGTGACTTAGGTGATGATAATGAAAAAGGATGTGGGAAAAAGAATGTTGTAAGTGTATTCAATAAACCTTAGCTACAATTAGTAGATCCAAGATCATGGATAGCTGCTTCCCTGAATGCCTCAAAGTATTCTAAGGCTCCAAACAAGCTCAGCTAGACAATGTCATGATTGATTAGTGATGTCTGCCATGGGCACAGCAGGGGGAAGAGGCAATGTGAGTGCAGTGTATTTTCTGACCCTGGACTGTATGATGTCTAGCATCTGTTTCTCCTCTGACATTCTGTGATCCTATTGCTGTGATTCTGTGAGTCTATCTTCAAAGTTCTGGAGTCAGCATTATTTACAGAATATTTAAGCAGCTCAGGCTCCTGCAGGTTTGCTTGGCAGGGCAGGCTGGTGAGCTGAGATCCAGGAAGACAGCGCCCACTCCATGCAAGGTAAAATAGACAGTTGCTGACAGGATGTGATGTGGGTGACATGGAAACTCCCCCACTGACCCCTCAAATCTTCCTCATCTCTCATGAGCTAAATGTTTAACTGTCAGAGTCACTCCATTGGGTTAAAACATCATCTGCAGGAGACCTTTGTTTAAATGCACAATATTACCTGGAAGGGATAAGCATGCAATCCATTCCAATGTGTTAATCCGCTAAACTAGTTGTAGCTCAGCAGAATAGAATTGAGAGGAAATGGGACAAAGGAGAGCGGTATTTTTGAGGGCGAGAGAGGAGGTTGGGGGGCGGGGAAGTATGGATTACAGAGCCAACGTCACTATATTGCACAACTCCAGGAGATGCTATTCACACTGGAACAGGGTGACCAAGTCACCCTGGGACTTCATTGTTTTAAAACTGAAGATCCTATGTCCCAGATGCTCCCTTTGTCTCAGACAAACCAGGAGAGTTGGTCACCCTAACTCTAGGCCGCATGGCACAGGATGAGCTTTGTAGTCCTAGCTGTCAGTTACCCCTCATGGTGTTGCCTGAAGTCTCTTTCTGGATATCTTTCTCCCCTGCTTATGACTCCTCTATGGCTCCCCAGGGCCCACTGAACTGGATTGAAACACCTCTCTACAGTGCCTAAGTTGGCCTGAGTCTTGCTTCCTGATCCACCTCCCTCTAGCTGTGAGTCACCCCAATTAGTCACCATGCCTGAGACCCACCATGCACTTTCCTATGCCCTTTGGGTTGGAAAAAGAGCTTTTCTAGAGAGGAAACCCACTCTTGGAGTGTGCTCAACTTGTGCCAGTAGTGAAGGAGTTAATTTGCCTAGGGTTTGTATTGTCAGACTCACCAGATGTTGCTGCCAGTGAGTTGGGGCTCAGATATGACTACCACTTGGTGTCAGGAGGGACACCATTTGTTCCAGAGAGCCCCAGGCACCCGTTCAGGGAAGGGCAAAGCCACCAGACACATGGAACCACCCTAAAAGAAAATAAAGACTCCCTTCCTTCCTTTACTCTTTATTTTTAAATTTTATTTTTAAAAAAGTATTTTTCTATGTAGAGAGAGATCTCACTATGTTGCCCAGGCTGGTCTAAAACTCCTGGACTCAAGCGATCCTCCCACTTTGTCCTCCCAAGTTCCGGATTACAGGCATGAGCCCACCATGCCCAGCCTACTCTTTAAACTTTTCAAAGCAGCTTCACATACATGCCTCAACAGATCCCCTCCATATCTCTGAGCAACAGGTAAGATGAATGTCGTGCCCATTTGACAGGTGGGAAAACTGAGGTGCCGATCAGAGAGTCTTATCCTCAATAAAGAAAGGTTTCTGGATGGGGAAGAGCAGGCACAGGGGTATTTCATGTCTCATAGCAAGTTGGTGGCTGAAATGGAACTAAGCAAAGTCTTCTGACCTATTTTCTATGAGGTTTTCATTCATTTGTTTTTCAGATATTCATTAAATGCTTATATGTCAGACACTGTGGTCATCTCATAATAATGATTATAGCTAGAGTTGTCTCTACAATCCTACACTTTCTACCTACAAGTCCCATTGCTAAATTATTTACGTGCCCTCTCTCATTTCAATGCGCGACAGCCACCCTTTGAGGTATGATTACTATTACTATCCCCAGACACAAGTAAGGACACTGAGCTTGCCCAAGGTCACTTAGCTCCTGAGCGGGTGCTGGGGTGTAAGGACTTCAAGCCTGTGCTCCTTTACTGCTTTGCTGAGGCTTGTTATCTGCACTGGGGTGGCCTACCCTCTTGAAGCTTACTCTTTTTTTTGAGACAGAGAATCTTGCTCTGTTGACCAGGCTAGAGTGCAGTGGTACACGGCTCACTACCATCTCCACCTCCTGGTTCAAGCGATTCTCCTGCCTCAGCCTCCCGAGTAGCTGGGATTACAGGTGTGCACCACCATGCCTGGCTAATTTTTGTATTTTTAGTAGAGATGGAGTTTTTCCATGTTGGCCAGGCTGGTCTCAAACTCCTGACCTCAGATGATCTGCCCGCCTTGGCCTCCCAAAGTGCTGAAGCTTACATTCTTATAAGGAGATAAATATACCAGTTTTCTGAGGTCTGGCCTTCACCTCTAAGACCCTCCAAGCTATTCCTTCCCAATAAGGAATATTCCAAATAGGAGAGAAAGGATGCAGACGTTGATTAAGCCCCTTCCATGGGCCAGGCACACGCATATCCATTTTCCATACCACCTAGCAAATTGGCTACAGAGGGTACTGAAGAAATCAAGGCTCATTGGGTTGACATGGTTGTTCAAAGCTGGCATACTTGGTTTTCAGGGAGTGGAGACCTGGCCTTGGATGGTGATGCCATCTGACTTGCCTTTTCTGCCAGCCAGCTCTGGCTCTCCTGGAGGACAAGTGACGGGGGAAGAGTTTGCCATGAGTCTTTAGGTCACGTAACTACGGAAGCAGTTCTCTTGAGGCTTGATACGTGATCTTTATACAAACCCTCCTCGGGACAGGAGCCAGAAAGTCACTCTCCCACCCATTTTGGGACAAGGGAGGTGGGGGGAGGACCCAAGACCGGATCCCGGCAGAGTCCCGCTGCCCACGACAGGCAGCAGGTGGCGCCATGGCCCCGGTTTAACAAGGACACCGGGAAGGTGGAAAGGGTGGGTGGGTGGGGCGGGGTGGGGGGCGTGGGGGTTGCGGTTGGACTCCAGAAAGAAAAACTAGTGGAAAACAAGGCTTTAAAAGAAGAACAATTTGTTCCAAAACACTTGCCTTGTAACGGGGTCATCTATAAATTCTGGGATTTCCTGTTGGCCTCGGGGAGGGCAGGCAGGCCGGCCGGCGGGCAGGCCACTGTCTTCTCTGCAGTCTGGAAGAATCATTTCCAGCCCAGCTCACGAGCTCCAGCCTCCCCTGGCCCAGATTGGCTCTGAAATTTCCCAGCTTTCGTGCCCGTAAGCAGGATCCTGTGACAGCAGCGTCTCCTTGAGCGGTGCTCCAGTTTCCACTGGGTTGGGAGGAGGCGTGAGATCATGGTCATTTTTTAAAGGAGAGGCTGTCTTCGTGATCTCCCTGTTCCGTCTCCACCATCGGACTTGTTCCAAAACAATCAAAGACGTGGAAACAATAAAATGAAAGAGATGGAAGTAGCCCTTTTAAAAAGAAGACAGCTGTTCCTGTCAATACGGGGACGGAAAAGAGAAAAAGAGTTGGAAACAAATAATTTTTAAGCCCAGGACTGGCTACTTGGTTAACAGATGTGGCCTGACCTCGCTCTACCCAAATCACTTCATCATGGGCTCTGAGCGGCCAGGCGCGGTGGAGAGGGCAGGGAGCTTTGGAACCAGTCGTTCATGAGCTGTGTGACCTTGAACAAGCCATTTAATATCTTGGAACGTCCGTTTCCTCCTCCAATAAGTGGTGAACAGTAATTAATACCTGCTATGCCAGGAGGTTGTGAGGCTCATGGATGGCCTGTTTCAAAGACTCGTGTGTATCAGCAACGCAATGCAAACAAGGTCACGGTTCTCTCTTGACTGTCGTCCCCGTGCGGCCAACAGGCCATCCTCACGGGCAAAATGACAAGGAACAGCAGAACTCTAAAGGAAAGATTATCTTACAAACTCACGGTGATATCTTTACATGTCTCTGGAGGAAAAGTCACAGTGAAAATATTGCCAATCAGTCATGAAGATGGTTAGGATTATGTTTTCTCTTTACCCAGAGAGCCAAGGCCAGGAGTTTAACTGGGACCACATAAAGGAAGAAGCAGCGGCTTTGAGTCTGGCTTGGTTTGGGGTAAAGACTCCTGGCTCAGTCACAATGCAGTGGTGCCATTGAACGAGATGCGTATCTCCCTGGGTTTCAATTTCCTTATCTGTACAAGGGTGGTGGGCTGGGGGAGGTCAGGAATCATTAACTGAATGCCTATAGAGTCAGACATAAGATAAGGGAGTGAAGTGGGGGATGGGTCCGAGGGCGTGGTTGCCTCTCAGTCCCAGCTGCTCATGGCCTGGAAGGAATTGGGACAGTATTGCCAGATGTTTAAGAAGCCAGGAATCTGGAGTTTTATGAGACATGGTCCAAGCTGTAAAACAATGCAGGTCAGACAAAACAGGTCTGTGGGCTGCATCTGGTTCTCAGACCTCGGTGATTCCAGAACTTCATGGGATTACGTTCAGGAATCCCTGGAGACCCTGCCTCTCTCACTGTTCCATGATGAGACCCAAGTCCTTGCCTATATTCCATGTCCTTACCTCTCTGCCTTCAAAACCCTCTCCAGTGCCACTGATTCAGAGACCTCATTCCTGTCCCCTGCCCTCCATAAACCCAGGCAAAAATTCTTTCTTCTGTGCTCATACAGCACCACATATACACTCATAGAACTTAGGACAATTACCTATTAGCATGAATGTCTAGAGATGGGAGCCTGTATCTTTGTCATCTCCAGCACACTGCCTGGTACATAATAGGTATAAAAGAATGTATGAACCAACCTGAAGGTTTAATTGATTTTCTTGGTTTTAGTTTATTCTCAGTGACAATAGCTTTATTCTTTTCTAATTATATAATTCATGTTCATTGTAAAAACTTTCAAACAACCCAGAAAAAATAACTCTGATAACTTTGTTTTCTGGATGTGCTCAGTGTAAAAAACTTCATTAATACAGAAAAATAAAGGAAGAATTAAGTCACTGAAACTTATCACCATGTGTTTTTTCCTGTGTGTGTGTATGTATGTATATACATTTAAAATGATAAGACCATCTAATATATAAAATTTCATATTGTATTTCTTCTTTTTTTTGAGACAGAGTCTCACTCTGTCACCCAGGCTAGAGTACACAGGTGCGATCTTGGCTCACTGCAACCTCTGACTCCTGGGTCCAAGCAATTGTCCTGCCTCAGCCTCCCAAGTAGCTAGGATTACTGGCGCCTGCCACCACACTCAGCTAATTTTTTGTATTTTTATTAGAGACGGGGTTTCACCATGTTGCCCAGGCTGGTCTCGAGCTCCTGACCTCAGGTGATCTGCCCACCTTGTCCTCCCAAAGTGCTGGGTGCTGGTGGCTCACTCCCAAAGGGCATGAGCCACTGCATCCCGCCTGTATTTGTTTTCAACATTACATTTTAAGCATTTAAAAAAATTGTTTAAGGCCAGGTGTGGTGGCTTATGCTTGTAACCCCAGCACTTTGGGAGGCCAAGGCAGGTGGATCACTTGAGGTCAGGAGTTTGAGACCAGCCTGGCCAACATGCTAAAACCATATCTATACTGAAAATGCAAATATTAGACAAATGTGGCAGCACACGCCTGTAATCCCAGCTACTCGGGAGGCTGAGGTGGAAGAATCACTTGGACCCGGGAGGCAGAGGTTGCTGTGAGCTGAGATCACTCCACTGCACTCCAGCCTGGGTGACAGAGTGAGACTCCATCTCAAAAAATAAAAATAAAAATAAATAAACAAATAATTTATTTAATATTTTGGGAAAATTCATTTTATTGTCTGGATAATAATCCGTTATATAGGTATATTATAAATTATCTAATCACTGAATTGGAAATCCCTCATAGGGCCAAGCATATGGTAGGTACTCAATAACTATTTGCTGAATGAATTAATGAATGATTGAATGGATGGATGGATATATTGATGGATGCTGTCTTGATCATAAGTCAGTTGAACAGAGAAGGGCCATCCCCTTCCCCTTTTCTTTTTGCTAATATAAATAGCACTGCAATAAATTTCCTTGCACCTAGACATTTGATTATCTCTCTGATTATTTCTTTAGAAAAACTTCCTAAAAGTAGGTTTAATGGGTCAAAGGGTATGGCTTGAGACTCTTGGTACGAATTTCCAAATTGCTATTGAGAAAGGTTATACCAATTAATATTCCTATAAATACTATATTGGGGTCTTCCTTTCTGAACACTTTGCAAACTAAGTGAATTTTTTAATTAAAAAAAAACTTTGCTAATTTGGTATCTATTTATTTAAATTTGCATTTATTTGATTATTAGTAACTTTGAATCTTTTCCACATTATTGGCCATTTGTATGACTCTTGAAGATCTGCATTTCTGATGGTAGAAATTTTTTTACCTGCAGGGAATAAGGTTGGGCTAAAGACATTTTCAGCAGAAAGCTATTTTCCCAGTATCTTTTAGATTACAACAGGCTTCACCCTTGTCCATGAAAACAGTCACCAGCCCCTCCCTGGTCAGGTGCTGTGCTTGGTGCACACATCATCTTTCGACTACCCTACAAACTAGATACCACTTTAATTTAATTTGCAGTCTCAGATCTGTCTAACTCCAGCACGTTCATCCCTATGCTACATTGTCTCTCAGTTCTGAAGCTCATCCTGAAATGCAAAAGGCTCATGATCAGTAAGACCATTCATCCATCCATCCATCTCCCCACCAATCCATCCATCCATGCATACATGCATCCATCCATTCATCTGTCCATCCATCTATCCATCCACTCTTCCATCCATCTACCCTCTCAGCCATCTACCCATCCACCCATTTACCTATTCAACCATCCATCCATCCCTTCCATCCCTTCATCCATCCATCCATCCATCCATCCATCCATCCATCCATCCACCCACCCAGCCACCTATCCTCCTACCCATTCACTTATTTTCCTTTTCATCCATTTGTCCATCTACCCATCCAACCATCCTCCCACACATCCATCCATCCATCCATCCATCCATCCATCCATCCATCCATCCATCCACCTATCCATCCATCCACCCATCCACCTCTCCACCCCTCCAATCATTCACTCATTCATTCAGCAAACAACTACAGAGTACCTACCACATGCTTGTACCTGGTCTTGTTTTACTGTGAGGCTAAGCCTAGAGCAGTTCTGTGGTCTCTCTGCAGGGTGGTTCCTCCAGGGGCCAGTGGCATGTGGAGGGCATGCAAGGAGAGTCTGGAGATGGGACTCGGAATGTGGGCTCAGGATTCCTGGACAACCACTGTTGGAACCTTTAGCAGGAATTGCAACATATTTGGCCAGGGTTAGGGGTACAGTTTGTGGCTGAAAAACAGAGTTTTCTCTGAATAAGTCAAACTAGCCTGCCTGGGATCAAATCCATGAGGGCTGGACAATCTGGTCTCAGCAAATTAAAACAACATGGGCACCAGCCAGCTACATTTTTGAAAACAGTGTTTTTGTTGTTTTAATCAAGGACACCCTTCCCACCCTCCATAACAAACTCTGAATTGAAATGGGGGAGAATTTATAAGAAAATAAAACAATTCTTTGGTATTCTGGCACAAACTCATTTTCCTTCTCATCAGCTCCACAGTGTAAGTGCCTCTCTATATCTTATTTTATTCTGCCCGCAGGCTTATGGGGATTAATGAGTCCATGCCAAGAGACCATCTTGAGTGGCACAAGAGAAATTCCATTTGTAGCTGAAGCCCACCTGTTGCATTCTCTCCACAGATGGAGGGTCCCTCTTAGGGTCCTCCAGGGTCTATGTCCCCATGGTGACTGCGGACAGCCCAAGGGGCGGCTCAAGCCCTAGGCTGGGTCTGTGTATCAACCATGTCTTTTGTTTTCTGTATTCTGATGCTTTGACATCTTGGGGCCTTGGTGACCCTGGAAGGACTTCCCCTCCCAGAGCTGTCCAATTCCTGGAGAAAGTGAACAGGTCACCGGAGAGCATGCCTTTCAAATGCAAGCCAATCCCTCCAGAAACCCTACCCCCAGCAGCCTATTTTATTAGACTTTCATAATCTTGGTCACTACCTACCTGCCATAGTCACCCCAGAGCCAGGAACCAGACAACTAAGGGACAGCCCCTATACCTCCAGAGCCTGCTGAAATTATTCAAACGAGCCAATCCTAAACCCACTTACCCTGCCTTGCTTATTTTTTCCTGGGGAAACCACAGTAAAGGCGCTGGCCCATGTTTCCCCACCTCCCCTGCCTCCTGCCCCACCCTAGTGCTGCCTCGTGCAGCCCTGCGTGGTGTGCCATGCTTCCTGTTTTAGGCATCTGTGGACATCATCAACTTCTTCCTTCGTGACAGTCGTTTCCGTGTCTGTGTGTCTTACCAGCCTCGATTAAAACAGATTCCGGGTACCCTTAATGAAGTCTACTCTTTCTGTCTGGGTCTGAGGCAGGTCACTGTGCTCTCCCAGCTACAGCCTCCTCTTCCATGAAATGGGGACAGGGACATCCAGTGGTTGTGAAGATTGAGTAGGTAACAGAAGTGACTTCCCAACAAAAGAAGCCCCTCCCAAGTCCCTCCTTATCTGGCCTGCGTTGTTATTTTAAATGACATTTATTTGCGTTTGAAACAACTTATTGGCCAGGCGCGGTGGCTCATGCCTGTAATCCCAGCACTTTGGGAGGCCGAGGCAGACAGATCACAAGGTCGGGAGATCGAGACTATCCTGGCTAACAGGGTGAAACCCCGTCTTTACTAAAAATACAAAAAATTAGCCAGGTGTGGTGGTCGGTGCCTGTAGTCCCAGCTACTCAGGAGGCTGAGGCAGGAGAATGGTGTGAACCCGGGAGGCAGAGCTTGCAGTGAGCCAAGATGGTGCCACTGCACTCCAGCCTGGGCGGCAGTGCAAGACTCTGTCTCAAAAAACAAAAAACAAAAAACAAAAAACGTATTTATTTATCTCTTTGCCCACTTCTCTCTACTAGAAAGAAGGCTTTTGTTCATTGCTGGGCACTTAGGACCTAGAACAGTGTTTGGCACATAGTAGGTGCTCATTTAACAGTCAGTATGACATGCTCATGAATGTGGCTGGCATTTAGATGTGCATTTATTTTATTTTATTTTGAGACAAGGTCTTGCCCTGTCCCCCAGGCTTGAGTGCAGTGGAACAATCATATCTCCCTGCAGCCTCTACTTCCCAGGCTCAAGTGATCCTCCCACCTCAGCCTCCCAAGTAGCTAAGACTACAGGGTTGCACCACCACACCTGGCTAAGTTTTGTTTTTTTATTTTTATTTATTTATTTATTTTTTTGAGACGGAATCTCGCTCTGTTGCCCAGGCTGGCGTGCAGCGGCACGATCTCGGCTCACTGCAACCTCTGCCTCCTGGGTTCAAACGTTTCTCCTGTCTCGGCCTCCCGAGTGGCTGGGACTACAGGTACATGCCACCATGCTGGCTAATTTTTGTATTTTTAGTAAAGACGGGATTTCACCGTGTTAGCCAGGATGGTCTTGATCTCCTGACCCCGTGATCCGCCTGCCTCGGCCTCCCCAAGTGCTGGGATTACAGGCGTGAGCCACTGCGCCTGGCCTATTTTTTTAATTTTTAGTAGAGACGAAGTCTTGATATGTTGCCCAGGCTGGTCTCAAATTCCAGAGCTCAAGCGATGCTCCTACCTCACCCTCCCAAAGTGTTGCGATTACAAGCATGAACCACTGTGCCTGGCCCATTTCTTTCTTTTTTTCTTTAAGACAGAATCTCGTTCTGTTGCCTAGGCTGGAGTGGTGCAATCATGGCTCACTGCAACCACTGCCTCCTGGGCGGTGCCTCCTCTTACCTCAACCTCCTGAGTAATTGGAACCATGTGCACGAGCCACCACATGTGGCTAATTTTTGAATTTTTTTGTAGAGACAGGTTCTCACTATGTTGCCCAGGCTGGCCTTGAACTCCCGGGCCCAAGCAATCCTCCTGCTTCGGCCTCTCAAAGTGCTGGGATTACAGGTGTGAGCCACTGGCCCAGGCCTAAATGTACATTCTTATTGCTGTCCTTCCGTCTTAGTCTTTTGGGATCTCCTCGTGTTAACTTGTGTGCATTCGGGCCCTTTACAGATTGGAAGCCGTTCGGGGAGGTTCTTATCACTTTTGCTGGCCTATAAAGTGTCCTACTTGTGCACAGGCCCTCAGAACACTTTGTAAACATTAACTTTGTAAATAGCATGCTTTGTGTGCAGCAGCTGGGGCAGGATTTGCTGAAATAAGATGGTTCTGAATAAGGCCAAACCTGTTCTGGAAGGGAGTGGGAGGTTTAAGCACAGAGACCTCAGAGGCCACTGGGCCATTTGCCCAGGGATGTCCAGCCAGCGGCTTAGGGTGGCAGAGATTCCTGGAAGACCGCCCCTCCCTGCACCCCAGGAACGCCTCCCTTTGCCGGGCAGCCCCTGCCCTGGAGTGAGTATTGTTTTGCTCCTTTGGCAGAACTTCCTGGATCAAGTTAAGAAAGTTCGTCTGGCTGCCAGAAGGTTTCTTGTGTGGATTTATTGAGCCCCCACTGAGCAGAGGCGTCGAGGCTGTGAGTTGTAAGACACTAACACTCATTCATTCAGTGGATCCTTTTGAGCATCCCCTCTGATCCAGGTGCTGGAGATACAGGGGCAAGGAGACCAACGAGGGAACAGTGACTCTCACAGAGGAGGTACTTGGCTCAGCATAGACAGCACAGGGTCTGCGGGAGCCAGAAAGGAGGGCTGAGTTCAGACAGGCTTCTTGGAGGAGTCATGCTTCTGTTTATACCCAGGAGTCTTTAAGTTGAAGTTTATAAAACCTCAACTCAAACAGGCTTAAGCCTTAAAGAGAATGCATTGGATCACAGAATGAGTAAAGCCAGGAGTAGGTGGCTTCAGGCACAACTGGATCAAGGGGCTTAAATGAAAATTCCATCTCTTGGTTCTGTCTTTCTCAGTGGGTTGACCTCATTTCCTCCAACAACAGGTAGGATTCCCCCGACTTGGTTTAAAAGATAAGAACTGAAGCTCTCAGCTCACATTCTTCTTCTTCCTTTTTTTTTCTTTTCTTTTTTTTTTTGATTTGCTCTGTCACTCAGGCTTGAGGGTAGTGGTGTGATCTCAGCTCACTGCAACCTCCACTTCCCAGGTTCAAGCGATTCTCGTGCCTCAGCCTCCCAAGAAGCTGGGATTACAGGCATGCGCCACCATGCTTGCCTATTACTATTATTATTATTATTATTTTTAGTAGAGATGGGGTTTCGCCATGGTGGCTAAGTGGTCTCAAACTCTTGACCTCAAGTGATGTACCTGCCTCAGCCTCCCAAAGTGCTGAGATTACAGGCATGAGCCACCACTCCCAGCCTTTCTCTTTCCATTTTTTTGCTTACTTAACTAACACTTACTGAGTGGTGAACAAGAAAATGTGCAACAGTTTATCCTACAGATAAACTTACCTATGTGCCAAAGACACAAGAACGTTCATTATAACATTGTTGCCGGGCGCGGTGGCTCACGCCTGTAATCCCAGCACTTTGGGAGGCTGAGGCAGGTGGATCACGAGGTCAGGAGATCGAGACCATCCTGGCTAACCCAGTGAAACCCTGTCTCTACTAAAAAAATACAAAAAATCAGCCAGGCATGGGGGCGGGTGCCTGTAGTCCCAGCTACTCGGGAGGCTGAGGCAGGAGAATGGCATGAACCCGGGAGGCGGAGCTTGCAGTGAGCAGAGATTGCGCCGCTGCACTCCAGCCTGGGCAACAGAGCAAGAGTCCATCTCAAAAAAAAAAAAAAATCGTTTATACTAATCAGGGACTGGAAATAGCTTAAATATCCACCAACAAGGGACTGGTTATATAAATAATGAACTGTAGTGTCCCCATACACCATAGGCTGGACAGCCTTTACAGAGAATGAGTTAGAGCTACATCAATGCTTCTCACCAGGGGGTGACTTTACTGCCCCAGGGGACATTTGGCAACATCTAAAGACATTCTTCACTGTCACAACTTAGCAGGGTGCTACTGGCATCTAGTGGGTAGAAGCCAGGGATGCTCCTCAATATCTTACAGTGCACAGAACAGACCCACAACACAGAATTATCCAGACAAGGATAAGCACCAGATTTGTACTTATAATACAGAAATCTCTAAGATATGTTAATTTTTTAAGAAACACAGTAGAAAAATCATAAATATACTAGATGACCATTTGTGCAAAACAAGAATCGTATCTCTATATGGGTGTATATATGTGTAGAACACTCTGGAAGAATAAATAAGAACATGGGGAGCTGTGTCTTCTGAAGGGCCTGGGGGAGAGGTATGGGACAGGAATGTATTTTTCCTATACAGCTTTTTGTACTGTTTGGATATTTTTAAACCACATACTTTACGTGTATTCTTTAAAAAGTTAAAACAGAGGGGGCGCGGTGGCTCACGCCTGTAATCCCAGCACTTTGAGAGGCCAAGGTGGGTGGATCACCTGAGGTCAGGAGTTCGAGACCAGCCTGGCCAACATGGTGAAACCCCATCTCTACTAAAAATACAAAAAAATTAGCTGGGCGTGGGGGCACATGCCTGTAATTCCATCTACTTGGGAGGCTGAGGCAGGAGAATTGCTTGAACCTGGGAGGTGGAGATTGCAGTGAGCCGAGATTGCACCACTGCACTCCAGCCTGGGTGACATAGTGAGACCCCGTCTCAGAAAAAATAAAAAATAAATAAAAAATAAATAAATAAAAAGTTGAAATATAAAAAGTATAGACATTCAGCCAGATTCACCCACATTCATTGCTTGTCCGCTTCCTAACACCCCACGCAGTTGCAGTCGCAAAAGATCTTAGAGATCTTCTAATCTTAGGAGTCATCAAAGAAGTTGTGGAAGTGCTGGATTAGACGCATTTAAATGGGTCTTTACGGGAGGACTTCTTAGAGCCTTTAATACGATAGTGTGCATGATGGATCTCAGAGGAGTACAGTATGCAGAATTAGCAAGCGTCCTTGACTCCTGGATTAGTCTCCTAGGGCTGCTCTAACCAAATGCCACACATTGGAGGTGCGCGAGCTCTAAACAACAGAAATTTATTGTCTCACAGTTCTGGAGGCTGGAAGTCAGAAATCAAGGTGTTGATGGGACTGTGCTCCCTCTGAAATCTGTAGAGAATCCTTCCTTGTCTGTTCCTGGCTTCTGGTGGTGGCCAGCAATCTTTGGTGTTCCTTGGATTGTAGCTGTATTGCTCCAATCTCTGTTCCTTTTTCTTTTCCTTTGTCTTTTTTTTTTTTTTTTTTTTTGACAGGGTCTTGCTCTGTCACCCAGGCTGGAGTGCAGTGGCAAGAAGATGGCTCATTGCAGCCTCGACCTCCCAGGCTCAGGCAGTTCCCCTGCTTCAGCCTCCCGAGTAGCTGGAACTGCAGGCACCCGCCACCATGCCTGGCTCATTATTTTTATTTTTTGTAGATATGGGGTCTCCCTGTGTTGCTCAGGCTGGTCTCAAACTACTGGGCTCAAGCGATCCTTTCTCCTCAGCCTCCCAAAGTGCTGGGATTACAGGTGTGAGCCACCGTGCCTGGCCCAAACTGTTTCATCATTGTCACATGCTGTTCTTTCTCTGGGTCTCTCTGTCTACATGTGGCCGTCTTCTTACAAGGACACCAATCCTGTTAGATTAGGGGCCCACTCTACTTCAGTATGATCTCATCTGAACTAACTACAATGATCTTATTTCCACATAACGTCTCATTCTGAGGTACCGGCAGTACCTCAACATATCTCTTTTGCAAGACAGAATTCAACCCATAAATATAGTTTATTTTCCAGTGTATCCCAAAGGACTACTGTTCTGATTATGCTTCAAGAAATGTGATGTAATATAATTCATTCACTTTACAGTTGATGTGTCTGAAGCCCAGAGAGGGAGAGCATCTAACCCAAGGTCACACAGCTGGTTAGAGGCAGGGCTGAAACTAAAATTCAGGCCAATTATTGACTGAATGAGAGAATCAGTGAACACTATCTGCCCTTGATAGGAGTCGCTTTTTGTACTTGAAGCTGTGAGTGACTGGTGATTAAGATAGTATCCATCAATATATCCACCCCATCAATCCATCTATCCATCCATCCATCCATCCATCCATCCATCCATCCATCCATCCATCCATTCATCCATCCACTGTATCTCCCAACATGCAAGCATCATTACCTGGCAAAGCAGTTCCTGCTCCTTTCCAAATGTCCCCAGGTTTGTGGAGGAAGCCACCATAGACTAACTGAGACCAAATGAGGGATTTTTCTGTTAATGTGTCAGGCGAGGTCTCTATTGTGGCTTTCAGCGCAGCTGGATCCAGAAGCTCAACCAATGCCTTCATCCCCTGCTCTCTCTCCTCTCAGCAATGCTTCCCTTTGGGCATCATTCTCAGACACCCTCCTTCTTCATGGTGGGAAGCATGGGTCCCAGCAGCTCCAGGCTCATCAGCTTTAGAAGGAGACTCTGCCCTTTTCCCCAGGACAGCCAAGGTCCCCAGGATGGCTTCAATGGCTACCTCTCAGAGCCTGTTCCAGTGGCCAGGCGTATTTGGTTTTCTCCTTAGCCAGGCCTGGAGCAGATGGGTGGGTTCAGCTGTCTCTGAACTACAATGACTGAGAAGTGGAGAGCAGTGGTTCTCTCAAAAGGTGTTAGTCAAATAAAACTTGTCCACTGTGATGAGTTAGCTCTTCTCCCACCTCACTGACTCCCCACAAAATATGCAGTTATATATGGTGGTGATTGAGTGAGGACACTGCTCAGCTCTGGGCAACCCCAATCCCACTGTGGTGGGCCAATGTAAACTATGGACGGTTTGGCCTCCTCTGTGTTCCTTCAGTACTTTCCTTACTCTACTGGATGTTTACATTTCTATCCCCCACCTACAACCAAACTGTAAACTCCTTGAGGGACCCTGGCTTATTTTTCTTTGCATCCTCAGCATCTAGCAGAGCAGGCGCAGAGCTGTTACTGCTTTGCCAGATAACATTTCTTGCACGTTGGAAGATATGGTAGTGGAGTGGTCGGTGGATGGTTGGATGGGTGACTGGATGGATGGATGGGGTGGATAAGTTGATGGATACTGTTTTAATAAATGTTCATTGAATTGGAAATCTCTCATAGGGTCAAGGATATGAAAGGTGCTCCATGACAGTTTGCTGAGTGAATGGGTGAATGGTTGGATGGGTGGATGGATGGATGAATGGATACAATGTATGGATGGGTAGCTAGATGGATGAAGGGATGATGAGTTGATGATGGATGGATGAATGGATGGAAGGATGGATGGGTGGGTGGATGGATGAATGGTTGGCTGGCTGACTGGATCAACAGACTGATGGATTGATGGATGGGTGGATGGATGAATGAGTGGTTGAGTTGATATATGGACGCATGGATGGAGGGACTAATTAATGGACGCTCTCTTGATCATTGCTCAGTCACCACCTCTTTTCTCCTTTATAGGTGCAAAGAGCAGCTCTTATCAAGGGCAAACATGGGTCATTGATAGCTCTTATCTGGCTACATGATTTCTGTGACACTGCCTGCTCACTTTCTTTTACAATACAGAGGAGTTAATGCTCATCTGCCTGGTTAATTCCCATTCTGTTTCTGCTGTATATCATCAAGGGTAGTCTAAAACCATGTTGTCAAGCACAAGGATCCAGGTGTCTGCTCAGAAACAGAAGGAAATGGTTAAGAAGTAGAAGCTGTGTGTCCCTCTCTCTTCCTGCAGACTGACTTTGTCCACATGGTGATGAAGATGGCTGGGCTAACCCTTGAGTCACATCCTTGTACAAACCAAGTGAAGAAACCAAGAGTCCCGCATTCTCTGCTCTGCTGCTCCAGAGGCAGACACACCATGACTCCCCTAAATGTGTTGCCCTTGAAGACTCAAGCTCTCAGCCTGTCTCCACTTCAAATCAGAGTTGATCCCACCAAGGAGAGAATTCCTCTGCTCCCCTAAGGAGCTCTGGCTCCCCTGCCCCTTGCTGTCACCCTTATGCCTCCCGGGAAAGGGGCCAACACAGTAGTCAGTTTCAGAGGGACACTCTCTTGAGAAATCAGCACAGAGCGAGCCACCTACCCTGGCAGGCAGTGGAGTTCTTGGTAGGTGGGCTCACTGGACAGAAAGCGCTCACCACCTAGTGCTGTAGGTTCATCATCTCCCTTAGGTATCAGTCCTTGAAAGCTTAAATTAAATAGTTTGAGAGATGCTGAGCAGAAATGCTATTTCCTGCTGCCTTTGACACACTCTCCATAGGGTGCCATATAAGAGCAGCAGCAGCGTGCATTCAGCTCCTCCTACGTGCCAGGCTATGAGACAACTATTAATATCCCCACTTTACGGGAGAGAAAACAAAGCTCAGAGAGGTCAACAGGCTTGCTCATTCTTCTGCAGCCAGTAAGTGGCAGAGCCAAGATTCCAACATGGGGCTCCATGCAAGTCTGCAGCTACCTCCGTGGGCTGGTGTGGCCAAGCCTTCCTGAATGCTCACTGTTGGTCAGTTTTGGAGGTTTTTTTTCTTTTTTCTTTTTCTTTTTTTTTTTTTCAGATGGAGACTTGCTCTGTTGCCCAGGCTGGAGTCCAGTGGCACTATCTCGGCTCACTGCAACCTCTGCCTCCTGGGTTCAAGCAATTCTCCTGCCTCGACCTCCCAAGTAGCTGGGATTGCAGGCACCTGCCACCACGCCCGGCTAATTTTTTTTTTTTTTTTTTTTTTTTTTAGTAGAGACATGGTTTCACCATGTTGGCCAGGCTGGTCTTGAACTCTTGACCTCGTGATCTGCCCATCTCAGCCTCCCAAAGTGCTGGGATTACAGGCATGAGCCACCACATCCAGCCCAGTTTTGGAGTTCAATCAGTGAAAACCTCACTTAGCTTTTTATTTTTCCTATCAGCAGATCATGAACCATCATAGCCTAAGATGGGGGAAAATAGCCTCTGGAAACAAAGATTGATGCAAAAAAAAAAAACAAAACTGGAAATAAGTCAGTGCCAGCACTTGTGTGCCCTTTTTGTCTCGGCTGCTGACATGCTAGGAGTTGAGTAAAAAAGCATGGATCCCTAGAGAGGTGATTTGAGGATCCCTGGAAGCTCCCATCACCTAACAGCTTCCCAGTTTACAGAGATTTTACCTGGAGACCTTCATTTCTTTAGGCTTGAAATCCTTTTTTGATTTTCAAGAGACTGTAATTAAAATGACAATACCTCTGACAGTGGTCATATTAAACTTGCATCAGCTACAAGCTTAAGCAAGGGAACAGGGGTGCTGCTTTAGGAAAGGTAAGCAGAAAGCAGGTATGGGGACCTTAATGAGAAAACCTACTTTGCCTCCACCGTAATTTCACCTACGGCCAGCAGGAAAGGGAGAAAACCATCTCATTTATTTATTGATGCATCACAAATTATTCTTGACACTTAGTGGCTTAAGGCAACAATCAACACTACTTTATGAGGTCTCTGTGGGTCAGGAATCTGGAAGTGGCTTAGCTGGCTATTCTCTCATGAAGGTGCAGTTGAGATGTTGGCTGGGGCTGCAGTCTCATCTGAAGGCTCATTGGGGGCTGGAGGATCTGCTCCATGGTGACTCGCTTATGTGGCTGTTGGCAAGGTGATCTGACCATTGGCAGGAGACCTCAGTTCCTCATCACACAGACCTCCCTGCAGGGCTACTGGAATGTCCTCACAACATGGTGGCTGGCCTCCCTCTCTTTCGGCAAATGAGCCAAAAGAGAGAGCAAAGAAGAGGCTGCAATGTCTTCCATAGCCTTGCCTTAGAAGTCACAGCCTCCCATTTCTACAACATGCTACCCGGTACACTACTCAGTGTGGGAGGGTCCTATGCAAAGATGTGAATAAGGCCCATAGGAGGCAGTGAGATGGTTGGGGCCATCTTGGACACTGATTTAAGGCTAACACAATTATTATCTTTATTTTACAAGTGATAAATAAAGGCATGGTGTGTTAGGCCGTTCTTGCATTGCTATAAAGGAATACATGAGATAGGGTAATTTATAAAGAAAAGAGGTTTAATTGGTTCACAGTTCTGCAGGCTGCAGGAAGCATGGTGTTGGCATCTGCTTGGCTTCTGGGGAGGCCTCAGGGAGCTTTTACTCATGGTGGAAGGTGAAGCAGGAGCTGGCAAGTCATAAGGGGGAAGCAGGAGCAAGAAGGGAGAGAGTGGGGGATGAGATGCCGCACACTTAACCAGATCTCGTGAGAGCTCACTTGCTATTGTGAGGACAGCACCAAGCCATGAGAGATCCACCCCCACCACCCAAACACCAGGTTCACCTCTAACGCTGGGGATCACATTTCAACATGAGATTTGGCAAGGACATATGTTCAAGCCATATCACACAGACAACTGTTATGTATCCATAATAGTTAAAAACTTAAAAAATTTAAAATCAATGCTTCCATTTGACCAGATGCAGTGGCTCATGCCTGTAATCCCAATATCTTGGGAGGCCAGGGCAGGTGTATTGCTTGAGCCTGGCAGTTCAAGATCAACCCGGGTAGCGCAGCAGAAGCTTGACTCTACAAAAAAATTTTTAAATTTTAAAAAATTTTAAAGCGCTCACTGATGCGGTGGCACATGCCTGTAGTCTCAGCTACTCAGGGGGCTGAGGTGGGAGAATCGCTTAAGCCTGGGAGGTCAAGGTTGCAGTAAACTGTGATTACACCACTCCACTCTAGCCTGGGCCATGGAGCAAGACCTTGTCTCAAAAAAAGAAAAATTAAAATAATTAAATTAAATGAAGGGAGTTAAAATAGAATCAAATGGAGGCACGAAAAGGCTACCTGAATTTATATTATCTTGCATTTTTTACAGAAATAAATCAGCACCATTTCGTATATGGTTATGAGATTTGACCAAGAGGGACAGTATACTGTGGACAGTGATCACATCTGATTGCTCACTGCACGATTCCCTGAAGCACCTTGAACAGCATCCAGCATTTAGTGGGTGTCCAGTAAACATCTGCTAAATGGAACATATGAACAAATAAATATAGGCTCAAGAAGATAAAGGGGTCCTTGAAATTTAATCCATTTTATTTTCTGCTCCATCAAGTGTCTTTGGGGAGCAGAGAGCAGGGAACGAGATTCTGCATCTACAGATTTCTCATATCATCGACTTTCTGTGCACATGTGTGTTCTCATGGGTTATTGTTACACGAGCCTTCTGTTTCTTTAAGACTGGAATCTTCTGGTGTGTTGTTGAAAGGAAGGGCTGTGTGGAAGCTACATGGGAAGGAGCATCCCCCCCTTCTTTGAATGATAAAAGGGTCACTTTAATTGAAATAGAGTCATAACTTGTTGCCAGATTTAAGCATAAGACCTCTCATATGTCAAAACCTTAGAGCGGAGAGATTACATATACGGGCAGCACATATATAAATGTATGGATAATTTATGCAATATTTCTCCTATTCACGCTCTCTACTTAAGCTATCCATTAAAGCCCATCACATTAATTTAATTGAAAAATTCTGGGGGAATTGTATTAGCTTTTTTCCCATTAAATTAACATTACAGCCTTTAAAGAGATGTCCTGGATGACCATTGTTGCTAACAAAATTATTATGCAAATTGAAATCTGGCCTTTCTGGGTCTGGCCACCAGCTCCCCACCCTCCTCCTCCTTCTTTGACCCCTCTAATTTAATTGCTCTTTCCCCCTGAGTTCCCAGGCCACGGAAATGGGATGAGAACCCCCGGCCTAAGTCAGAGGCTCTGTGTGGGCTCCATGCCGGGCCTGGTCCACGCCCAGCACAGCAGCTTGGAGTTCTGCTCTCTGGTGCTCAAGGCCCTTTGGGAAAACACTCTTGTCTTATCTCAAGAAAGGAAAAAGCGTGGGTGGATTCCCTGCAGACTAAGAGTGGCTAAGAGTGCGCTCGGGAGTAAAGAGCTTGATACAAAAATAAAAAAAATAAAAAGGTCGTGTGCTGTGGCTCACGCCTGTCATCCCAGAGCTTTAGAAGGCTTAGGTGGGAGGATCGCTTCAGGTCAGGAGTTCGAGACTAGCCCGGGCAATGCAGCAAGACCCAGTCTCTACAAAACATTTTAGAATAAGCCAGGCATGGTGGGAGGATGGCTTGAGCCCAGGAGTTCAGAAGGGCTGAGTTTGAAATGGGATTCTGCCCTTAGTGATTCTGGAACTTCAAGCAAGTTTTCTAACCTCTGGAAAACCAGGAAACTATCCCTCCCTGGAGGCAAGGCTGAAGGAGGACAGGAAATCATGTACAGGCTGGACGTGGTCGCTCACGCCTGTCATCCCAGCACTTTGGGAGGCCGAGGTGGCTGGATCACTTGAGGTCAGGAGTTTGAGACCAGCCTGACCAACATGGCGAAACCCCGTCTCTACAAAAGCTACAAAATTTAGTGGGTGTGGTGGTGCATGCCTGTAATTCCAGCTACTCGGGAGGCTGAGGCACCAGAATTGCTTGAACCTGGGAGGTGGAGGTTGCAGTGAGCCGAGATTGCGCCATTGCACCCCAGCCTGGGTGACAGAGTGAGACTTTGTCTCAAAAAAAAAAAGAAAGAAAATTATGTACAGTGCTTGCATCAGGCAGGCACTCATCAAGGATTGCTATTATCATGTATTGACTTCGTCATTCATTCATTTACCCATTCATTCAGGAAATAATTTCAGAGCCCCTCTCTGTGCCTGCCACTGGGTTAGGTGCAGAGGAGGTGGCAAGAGCCACAGGAATAAAGTCTTCCATCTCCTACAGCTGCTCTGGCAGGGTGAGGGTGGGGGTGGGGGCAGGGAATAAACAGGCAAACAAGTAAATCACATTACTGTAGATAGAGGTAGGTGTTCTTGTCATTATTAGCAGGTTAAGCATGTGTGTTAGGCCGTTCTACTGACGCAGAGTAGGCTCCTAATCCAATAAGACTAGTGTCCTTGTAAGAAGATGGCCACGTCTAGACAGAGACACACAGAAAGAACACCATATGACAATGATGACACAGAGATTGGGCCAGACACGATGGCTCATGACTGTAACCCCAGCACTTTGGGAAGCCAAGGCAGGTGGACCACTTGAGCCCAGGAGTTCTCAAGACCAGCCTGGGCAACATGGCAAAACCCCGTCTCTACAAGAAAAACAAAAATTAGCTGGGCATGGTGGTGCGCACCTGTAGTCTCAGCTACTTAAGAGGCTGAGGCAGGAGGATCACCTGAAACTGGAAGTCGAGATTGCAGTGAACCATGATTGCACCACTGCACTCCAGCCCAGGTGTCAGACCATGCTCCAAAACCAACCAACCAAAAACAACAACAAAAGAAATACCTGAGACTGGGTAATTTTTGTTTGCTTGTTTGTTTGTTTTGTTTCATTTTGTTTTTTGAGATGGAGTCTCACTCTGTCGCCCAGGCTGGAGTGCAGTGGCGTGATCTCAGCTCGCTGCATCCTGAAAGGAGGTTTTATTGGCTTACCGTTCTGCAGGCTATATAGGAAGCGTAGCAGCATTTGCTTCTGGGGAGATCTCAGGAAGCTTCCAATCATGGCAGAAGGCAAAGGGGGAGCAGGCATGTCAACAGCAAAAGCAGGAGCAAGAGAGAGAGTGAGGGGAAGGGGCCACACCCTTTTAAACCATCAGATCTCTCACTTCTCACCAAACGGATGGCCCAAGCCATTCATGAGGGATCTGTCCCCATGATCCCAATACCTCCCACCAGGCCCTACCTCCAGCATTGGGGATTACAATTCAACATGAGTTTGGGTGGGGATAAATATCCAAATTATATCAGCATGTATTTAAAAAGGGAGAAGTATAGTCCTATAAATGAAGCAACCACCTTGATTTCCCTCAGCCACCAGTAAGTAGAATCAGCATTTCCCTTGGGCTGTTTCAGAGAGGCTTCCTGTAGGTCCTGGGCCCACTTGGAATGAGCTTTCTCCACCCTGAGCTGCTGAATCTCCTTGGAGCCAAAGCTGAGAGGCAGGCGCTCCAGAGCCAGGAGATCTCCGTGAAATCTGCCTTATTTCCTCTTTTCGAGGAATAAAGTGTCCCCCAAGCCCCTCATGGATCTTTCTGACTGATACTCCTCAAGTGTTCCTTGCTAATCTCTCTGGATGAGCACCAAAACCTCACTACTCTTCAGGGGTTGCCAAGGGGGATTTCTTATCTTTCTTATCTCATCTTTCCCATCTCTTAAATCTCCAGGACTTTCTCTTTTCATGAATGTGCTCTGCTACTTGCATAGGCACTAAGATGGAAATGAGGCTCTCTAAGGGAAAGTCAAGGCCTTCTTTGCCTTTGGGGGTTGAGAACACACCCTTGAAATAAGGAGCAGGCGTGGAGACCAAGCTTATCCCCCTCCAAATTAGTGCCAGGTTAGAGTGTGGAGAGATGGCTGGTCTTCTTGCCTTCTGTTGCAATCATCTATTGCCGGGTAACGAATAAGCCCAAACCATAGTGGCTTAAAACAATGTTCATTTGTTTGTTTGTTTGTTTGTTTGAGATGGAGTCTTGCTGTGTTGCTCAAGCTGGAGTGCAGTGGTGCGATCTGGGCTCACTGCCACCTCCACCTCCCAGGTTCAAGTGATTCTCCTGCTTCAGCCTCCTGAGTAGCTGGGATTACAGGTGCCTGCCACCATGCCCGGCTGACTTTCGTATTTTTACAGAAACGGGGTTTCACCATATTGGCCAGGCTGGTCTTGAACTCCTGACCTCAGGTGATCCTCCCTCCCCAGCCTCTCAAAGTGCTGGAATTACAGGTACGAGCCACCATGCTGGGCTGGATTCATTTGTTATCCTTCATGGTTTCTGTAGAATAAAGATTCATAAGCAGCTTGACTGGACAATTCTAGCTCAGGATATCACATGTGGCTACCGTTGGGGTCACCTAGAAGGCTTCTTCACACTCAAGTCTGGTGTATGGATCAGGAAGACCTGTGGAGCTGGTGGCCAGAAGAGCTGGTTCCTTGGGCGTCTCTCTCTCTATCTTGATGTGGTTTCTCCATGTGATCTCTCCGTTGTGGTGGCTTCAGGGAACCAGATTTGTTTCTTTGTTTTTTTGTGCTTTTTGAGACTGAGTCTCACTCTATTGCCCAGGCTGGAGTGCAGTGGCACAATCTCAGCTCACTGCAACCTCCGCCTCCTGGGTTCAAGCGATTCTGTGCCTCAGCCTCCCAAGTAGCTGGGATCACAGGCATGCTCCACCATGCCTGGCTAATTTTAGTAAAGACAGGGTTTCGCCATGTTGGCCAGGCTGGTCTCGAATTCCTAAGCTCAGGTGATCCATCCGCTCAGCCTCCCACAGTGCTGGGATTACAGGCATGAGCTACCATGCCTGGCCTAGAATCATACTTCTTATGTGGTGATCACAGCACCCAAAGCATGTGTCCTGAGAGAATGAGAGAGGGCCAGGTGGAAGCCATATTACCTTCTCTGAGCTATCTTTGGAAGGATACGTGTGCCTCTTCCGCTTTATTCTATTGGTTGAAACAGTCATAGAGGCCAACCCAGGTTGAAGGGAAGGGGAAATAGACTCCACCTCTCATGGGCAACAGAAAGTTCTGGAAGACCATGAGGGACTGAAAATATTGCAATGGGTCATATCTACCCATTATATATTTCTGGTTATGATTACTATGATGGTTGTAGACTGAAATGTGTAAACTAAAACAATAAATCTAGGATATGACATGGGAGGATATCCTTATGTCCTCAGGATGGGGAAACATTTCTAAGACAGGACATGAAAATACTAACCATAGGCTGGGCGCAGTGGCTCACGCCTGTAATTCTAGCACTTTGGGAGGCCGAGGCAGGCAGATCACCTGAGGTCAGGAGTTTGAGGCCAGCCTGGCCAACATGGTGAAACCCCATCTCTACTAACAACACAAAAATTAGCCAGGCATGATGGTACACTCCTGTAGTCCCAGCTACTCAGGAGCCTGAGGCATGAGAATCGCTTGAACCCAGGAAGCGGAGGTTGCAGTGAGCCAAGATTATGCCACTGCACTTCAACCTGGGTGACTAAGACAGACTCTATCAAAAAAAAAAAAAAAAAGGAAAGAAAAAGAAAAAAATACTAACCATAAAGAAAACAGCTGGCTGGGTGCAGTGGCTCATGCCTGTAATCCCAGCAATTTGGGAGGCTGAGGTAGGCGGATTGCTTGAGGCGAGGAGTTTGAGACCAGTCTGGGCAACATGAAGAAACCCCATCTCTACAGAAAAAAATACAAAAATTAGCGGAGTGTGGTGGCAGTGCACCTGCCTGTGGCCCCAGCTACTTGGGAGGCTGAGATGGGAGGATGGCTTGAGTCCAGGAGGCAGAGGTTGCAGTGAGCTGAGATCACGCCACTGCACTCCAGCCTGGACAATGGAGCAGGAGCCTGTTGAAGGAAGGAAGGAAGGAAGGTAGGGAGGGAGGGAGAGAGGGAGGAAGGGAAGAGAGGAGAGAGAAAGAAAGAGAGAAAGAGGCAAGAAGAAAGAAAGAAAAAGAAAGAAAGAGAGAAAGAGAAGAAAGAAAGAAGAAAGAAAGAAACAAAGAAAGAAAGAAAGGAGGGAGGGAGGGAAGGAAGGAAGAAAGGAAGGAAGGGCAAACAGTTGATCAATTGGACTTCATTAAAATTAAGATCTTCTGTTCATCAAAATATCCCATTAGAGAACAAAAATGCAAACCACAGAATGGGAGAAGATAGTTGAACTAAAGATATCAAGCAGAGGATTCATATTCAGAATATTTAAAAAGGATGCCTGCAAATTAATAAGAAAAAAATGCAATTAAAAAATAATTGGCAAAACACACAAGCTTTTTACAAAAGAGAAATCCAAATGGCCAATAAACCTGTCAAAAAGGAGTCAATATCATTAGTCAATTAAATGCAATTAAAACCACAGTGAGATTTTTACATATGTAAATAAAACTAAGCTAAGATTTTTGCACCTTACTATATATAAATTTTACACTTACACATGTAAAAATGGCTAAGTTTACAGGAAAAAAAAAGAAAAGAAAACCTGTTAATACCAAGTGTTGTTAATGCTTAGAGAAGCTGAGACCCTTGTATACAGATGGTGGGAGTCCAAATTAGTACAACCACTTCAGAAAATTGTTTAGTAGCATTTCCTAAAGCTGAACATAAGCATACACACTCCAAGAATATGCCTAGTAGTGATGTGTAAATATGGATCCAAAGATATGTTCAAGAATGTTCATAGTGGCATTATTGATAATAGCCTCAAACTAGAAACCACCCAAATATTATCATAGTGGAAAAGATAAGTAAAGTGTGGCATATTTGTTCAATGCTATAAATGCAACACTGCATGTGGCATTATGCAATATAGCCTGAAGTTGGACAAACCCATACAATCACACATACACTCACTAACATGCCACTGAGTGAAAGAACGAGCTATATGATTTCATTTACATAAGGTTAAAAACTAATGAAAACAAATGTGGAGGCTCTAAGTCTAATCTGCGGTTAGCTTTGGCAGTGGTGATAGGGATGACTCGGAGGCGCAGGAGGAACACTTTTGGGATTGGGTAACATTGTATATCTTCATCTGGGTGGCACTTACAAAGAGGTGTTCCCTTCTTAAAAATTATTTGTATACTTTTATTGTATGCACATTACATATACTTCTATTTAAAATCACATATACTTCCATTTGTTTCTTTTTGTTGTTGTTGTTGTTGTTTGAGACAGAGTTTTATTCTTGCCGACCAGGCTGGACTGCTATGCCAGGATCTTGGCTCACTGCAACCTCCACTTCCCAGGTTCAAACGATTTTCCTGCTTCAGCCTCCCGAGCAGCTGGGACTACAGGCACTCGCCACCATGCCCAGCTAATTTTTGTATTTTTAGTAGAGATGGGGTTTCACCATGTTGGTAAGTCTGGTCTCGAACTCCTGACCTCAGGTGATCCACCCACCTCGGCCTCCCAAAGTGCTGGGATTACAGGCATGAGCCACCTCAATCGGCCTTAGAAGTTTGCTTCTAAAAGATCGTTATGCCCATGTTCTATACCAGTGGTCGGCAGACTATAGCCCCAGGTCAAATCTGGCCAGCTACTTCTCTTATAAATAAAATTGTATTGGAACACAGCCATCCTCATTCACTTACACATTGTGTAAGGCAATTTTTTTTTTTTTTTAGAATGCAAAGTATTTTATTTTTAAACTTTTAAAATTTGAAAACAAGCTAGCCTACATTAAATAATATAGTTTCCAAAGCTGAATGTGCTCACTTGGAGCTCAGTTTTTCTGCTTGAAACACAAACACAACTTCCTAACACTCCTAGGTGGGAACACTACTGTTTGATGATCTGTGATTAGATGAACTGATCGATCTCAGTTGGTAACATCCCTTTTTTTTTCCTTGGTAAGGGTTTAAAAAATTCTAGAAGAGATGCATTTTTTCTGGTTTTACACTGACAATTTCATCCCGAACGTCTCCTGGGAGGCACAGACCATGTACAGGAATCCATCTTCATCTTTCTCACTCTCATACACCTCTGAGATTGGTGTGGAGACGCTGACCATGCTGTGTCCGTTCACCAACAGGAAGAAGGCCTGATTAGCATTGAGCTGTAAGCGCCTTCTAATTATCTTGATGAGCTCACTCATGTTGACATGGTCAGGTACAAGGAACTTTGTTTTATCCAGAACAGGAAGCTGCTTCTCACCCTTGTATCGTTCTATTATCACCGGGATTTTGGTTGGATGCTGCTCTCGAATAAGTCGGACATCTTCTACTCTTTGTTCGAAGGTGCGCCGCTGCTTGAAGGTCTTCTCCGACGGCATGGTGTGGGGATCTGGGCCGCGGCGGCGACGACGCGAGGGTCCCGGCGGCTCCTGGGGGTGGCGGCTGCTGCGGCAGCGAATCCGACTGTGGCCGTGTAAGGCTATTTTTGCACAATAACAACAGAGCTGAGTAGTTGTGGCAGAAACTGTATATGTTACAGCCACACACCATCATATATTTACTATCTGTTCTTTTACAGAAAACATCTGCTGACACCTGTTCTATAGTACATTATTTTGGGGTCTTATTCAAGCCTTTGGCATGTATTAGAGAAGAGTCAAGACTGTTTTTCAAGGGAAATCTTGGCTTTATTGAAAAGCACTCCTTCAACTTAACTCTATGCCTAACTGGGGTGCCTTCTATTAAGACACAAACCTCAGCTGGGTCTCTAAGACTCAGTTCCAGGAAGGCAGGCCCACCCTGCCTTTGAGTGATTGTCAAAGTAATATGATTTGCTTTGAATTTTTACCCCTAATTCTGTTTTTAAAGATACTGATCATTTGAATTATGAAAGTCATGTATATCTTTTGTAGCAATTCAAACAATAAAGAATTATCTAAAATAAAGTTAATAGCCGCTCCACTGCTCTCCAATGCAACTCCCTGATTCATTCACTGCTAAGAATTTGATATAAATGTTTCCTTCCTGTTTTCTTCATTTACAAAAACATATAGAAACTCCCTTTCAGAGTTTGACTTTTTTTCTTCTTTATTTTTTTAATAAAAATTGAATAATATTTGCTTGCTTTTTTTTTTTTTTTTGAGACTGAGTTTCGCTGTTGTTGCCCAGGCTGGAGTGCAATGGCACCATCTTGGCTCACCGCAACCTCCGCCTTCTGGGTTGGAGTGATTCTCCTGCCTCAGTCTCCTGAGTGGCTAGGATTACAGGCATGCACCACCAAGCCCGGATAATTTTTGTATTTTTAGTAGAGACGGGGTTTCTCCACGTTGGTCAGGCTGGTCTTGAACTCCTGGGCCTCCCAAAGTGTTGGGATCACAGACGTGAGCCACTGCACCCGCTGACATTTGCTTTTTTAATATTTAACAAGGTGTTGCAGGGCTATCTCCCAGCCACTATGTTCAGATGTATTATATTTAAATATATAGGCCTGTAATCCCAACACTTTGGGAGGCTGAGGCTGGTGGATCACTTGAGGTCAGGAGTTCAAGACCAGCCTGGCCAACATAGCAAAACCCTGTCTCTACTAAAAACACAAAAATACTAAAAATTACCAAAATTAAAAAAATACAAAAATGTGTATGTGTGTTTGTATGCTTTTTTTTTTTCTTTCTTTTTGAGACAGGGTCTCGCTCTGTCCCCCAGGCTGGAGCACAGTGGCACGATCATAGCTCACTGCAACCTTGACCTCCTGGACTCAAGCAATCCTCCTACCTCAGCCTCCCAAATAGCTGGGGCCACAGGGGCACGCCACCACACCCAGCTATTTTTTATTTTTTATTTTTTGTAGAAGTGGAGTTTTGCCATATTGCCCAGGTTGTTCTTGAATTCCTGGGCTCAAGAGATCTGCCCACCTCGGCCTCCTTATGTGGTAGATTGCAGGTGTGAGCCTCTGAGACAGCCTATTTTGTAATTTTTAATACCTGCACTGTTTTTCTTAATATAAATATATCATGACTTGCTCAACCATGTTTTTGTTAATGTACATTCAGACTGCTTCCAGGTTTTTTTTTTTAACTATTACAAACGATACTGCAATAAATTTCTTTATAGATTTATGTCTTTGTATACTGACATTTTCATTTCTGGTGGATATATTCTCAGAAATAGGAGTCCTGGGCCACAGCTTAAATTTTCAAAAATACCAAGTTGATTTTCCACCACGTTATAATAATTTACAGACCTCCCCCAATGGTGTTCAAAGGAACTGGATTTCTTACACCCTCACGAGCTCTGGATGTTACACATATGTTCCATTTTTGCCAATCTGATGGGTAAAAAATAGTATCTCATTGTTCTCATTTGCATTTGCCTGACAAGTGAGGCTGAGCATCTTTTCATATGCTCGTTGGCCATTTGCATTTCTACTTCTGTGAAAGCTGCAGCCTTGCCCCATGTTTTGCCTGGGCTATTGGTCTTTTTATTTTGTAAGATTGTCTTATAAATTAAGGATATCAGCTGGGCGCAGTGGCTCATGCCAGAACTTTGGGCAGCCAAGGCGAGTGGATCACTTGAAATCAGGAATTTGAGACCAGCCTGGCCAACATGGTGAAACCCCATCTCTACTAAAAACACAAAAATTAGCCAGGTGTGGTGGCGCACACCTGTAATCCCAGATACTTGGGAGGCTGGGGCAGGAGAATTGCTTGAATCCAGGAGGCAGAGGTTGCAGTGAGCCGAGATCACGCCACTGCACTCTAGCCTGGCGACAGAGCGACTCTGTCTCAAAAAAATAATAAAAGAAAAAGAAAAAGAAAAAGGAAGACGATATTAATCCTTTATGAATTATATAGTTGCAAATCTTTTATTTGTTTATGCTGTTTTGCCATGGTTCTGCTTTTAATCTAAAATAATTAAATTTCTGCCCCCAGGTTCTTGCTAAGAATATAACTAAGATCGTTTGCCTTATCAGAATCTCAGCTGTGAAAAATAATGTATATGGAGCTCTGTTTAAAGCAGTGGCTCTCAAATATTTTCTAATTTTAAGTAACAGAAACTTTTTTTTCCTAACAAGTTTTTATGTAGAAAAAAAGATAATTCAGCTGGGCACCGTAGCTCATGCCTGTAATGCCAGTGCTTTAAGAGGTCAAGGTGGGAGGATCACCTAAGATCAGAAGTTTGAGAACAGCCTGGACAACGTGGTGAAACGCTGTCTCTAATAAAACTACAAAAATCAGCTGGGCATTGTGGCACGTGCTGTAGTCCCAGCTACTCAAGAGACTGAGGCAGGAGAATCGCTTGAACCCAGGAGGCAGAGGTTGCGGTGAGCCAAGATCGTGCCACTGGCCCTGGGAGACAGAACCAGACTCCAGACTGTCTCAGGAAAAACAAACAAAAAAAATCCGCCACAATTGAATTGAGGCTGAGGGCCCAGACCTCTGCCTGCCAAGGGCCTCTCCATCCCTCCCTAGCAGCCTCTGAGACTCTGTTCTGGGGAACTTAGTTTGAGAACCATTGACCTAAAGACTCTGCAGTCCTTCTATGTACTTAATCACCGATTTCCAGTGTGTTCCACAGAATAGTAAGTGGATATTAACAAGTATTCTGTGAAGAAAAGACTCTGGGATTGTTCTATGGCATGTAGAACTGAGGCATGCCTTGGCTGGGCGCCGTGGCTCACGCCTGTAATCCCAGCACTTTGGGAGGCTGAGGCGGGCGGATCAAAAGGTCAGGAGTTCGAGACCATCCTGGCTAACACGGTGAAACCCTGTCTCTACTAAAAATACAAAAAATTAGCCGGGTGTAGTGGCGGAAGCCTGTAGTCCCAGCTACTCGGGAGGCTGAGGCAGGAGAATGGTGTGGGCCTGGGAGGCGGAGCTTGCAGTGAGCTGAGATCACGCCGCCGCACTCCAGCCTGGGCGACAGAGCGAGACTCCATCTCAAAAAAAAAAAAAGAACTGAGGCATGCCTTTCCTTTTTGGACTAGATACGTTTTGATTCTTTTGAGATGAAAATGTTAGTGTACCAGGAGACAGGAGCTGGACAAAGAGTAACAGATACCCTTGATTTCCTTTCATATGCAATACCAAAACAAATAGACGATGCCCGTGCTGCTTCTGGCAATCTATCTGCTGAAGGTACAACTCTTTGGTTTTCTGATTGGCCTGAGCAAGTGTCGATCATTTTATGATCAAGGTTATGGATAATCTAAAGGTCTTGTCTGATGTCTATAGAGAGGACTCTTTTTTATTTTCTTAGCGGCAGAAATTGTGAACTCTCGGTAACATTCAATCACACCCTTCTTTTCCTTTATTTGCAATGTAAGAGGACAAGTTTCTCCCTAACCCTTTTTTTTTTTGTAACGGTCATAGCTATAGAAAACAAACAAGAAGTATGTTGTTTTCTACAGCTATGACCATTAAAAAAAAAAACAACAGTTGCTTTAAGCAGGAACTTCGCGGACATTACTTTGTTTCTCTCCTAGGTCTTTTTAGGACAAAGGAGAGACAGTTCAGAATAACGTCCCTAAGAATAGCAGTCCGTGGCCGGGCGCGGTGGCTTACGTCTGTAATCCCAGCACTTTGGGCGGCCGAGACAGGCGGATCACGAGGTTAGGAGATCGAGACCATCCTGGCTAACACGGTGAAATCCCGTCTCTACTAAAAATACAAAAAAATTAGCTGGGTGTGGTGGTGGGCACCTGTAGTCCCAGCTACTCGGGAGGCTGAGGCAGGAGAATGGCATGAACCCGGGAGGCGGAGCTTGCAGTGAGCAGAAATCGCCCCACTGCACCCCAGCCTGGGCGACAGAATGAGACTCCGTCTCAAAAAAAAAAAAAAAAAAAAAAAAAAAAAAAAAAAAAAAAGAACAGCAGTCCCTTACTCCCATCTATTCTCACGAGAAGGAAAAATTCATTTCATGGTAGGATCAGTGGACCTAGGTCACATTTTGAGACTGCCCCAAGGTTCTTGCACAACAGTAGTCAGAGAAACCTGGCAAATGCTGGGTTTCCTTACTGCAGGACTTCTCAGAGCCTTTAAAATGCTAGTGTTTTACTGTGCACTTCCAAGAGGAAGACGTGAGTGGGTTTCCCACCTTTCCTCAACCACAGAAGCCATTATGGGCAGAGCTTTTCCAAGATTGTTATTCCATAGTGTACTCTTCAGAAAAAGCTGGACTACATGGTCTTAAATATGTCCTTAGATAAAATCAGACCCTTACAGAATTGCAGCTTTAAGCCGTTTGTTTTGGCCACTTGTAGATTTTCTTGTATTGAACCTCCCTTAACCTGAATTGAGGCACATTACAGAGAAATCATGGTATAAATATGCTATCATTTTTATCACAAGGAAGTTGCAATAAAATTGCAACCGATAGAAGAACATTTCTTATATACCTTGTTACTCACACAAACTGTGTTTTCCCAAGTGATCAGTTGCCTTACACAGGTGCTTCTCGACTTATTAATACATCCTGGTAAACCTATCATACGTTGAAAATGCATTTAATTCACCTAACCTACCAAACATCATAGCTTAGCCTAGAGTATTACTTTGTTTTCATGTGGCTGATAAAGACTTACCCAAGACTGGGTAATTTATAAAGAAAAGAGGTTCCACGTGGCTGGGGAGGCCTCACAATCATGGTGGAAGGCAAAAGGCACATCTTACATGGCAGCAGGCAAGAGAGAATGAGAGCCAAGTGAAAGGGGGAACCCCTTATAAAACCATCAGATCTCGTGAGACTTACTCACTACCACCAGAACAGTATGGGGGAAACTGCCCCCATGATTCAATTACCTCCCATTGAGTTCCCCCACAACACATGGGAATGATGGGAGCTACAATTCAAGACAAGATTTGGGTGGAGACACAGCCCAACCATATCACCTAGCCTACTTTAAACAAGCTCAGAACACTTATATTAACCTACAGTTGGGCAAAATCATCTAACACAAAGCCTATTTTATAATAAAGTGTTGAATATCTCATGTTTATTGAATGCTGTACTAACAGCAAAAAGCAGAATGGCTGTATGGGTACTTGAAGTACAGTTTCTACTGAATGCATGTTACTTTTGCACCATCATAAAGTTGAAAAATTATAAGTTGAGCCATTGTAAATTGAGGATCATCTGTATGCAACCCTGTGAACTTTAGTAATGAGGGTATTTCCCTCTTTGCCCCTTCTTCTGAGCCACTGACAATAATGATATACAACTTTGTGGGTATGCATTTTGGGTAGTGATTTTATTTTATTTTATTTTATTTTTGAGATGGAGTCTCACTCTGTGGCCAGGCTGGAGTGCAGTGGCGCGATCTCGGCTCCCTGCAACCTCTGACTCCTGGGTTCAACCAATTCTCCTGTCTCAGCCTCCCAAGTAGCTGGGACTACAGGTGCGTGCCACCATGCCCAGCTAATTTTTGTATTTTTAGTAGAGACAGGTTTTCACCATGTTGGCCAGGATGGTCTCGATCTCTTGACCTTGTGATCTGCCCACCTAGGCCTGCCAGAGTGCTGGGATTACAGGAGCGAGCCACCATGCCTGGCCTGTTATCTTTTATTTTAACATTTTTCCTAGCTTTATTTTTACTTTATCCCCATTTCTTTGATTTGCATTTTTATTTTGTTGTATTGAGGTATGTATATAAGCGCCATTCTACTTCTTTGTTGAAATGTAGTGGGACATCATGATAAAATAAACACATACCTACGTGCATATTCCAACTAGCATATATTAAATACATAGTTACATACAAGGTAGCTGCTAGGGTCTTAAGGAAATAGAGATGAACAAGTTATGGTCCTTGTCCTTGAAGGATTTACAGTTTTGCCAATGAAACAGATGTTAAGTACATTGCCACAATCCACAGGCCCAAATAACAACTACTACGTTGTGGGTTAAGTAGTAAGAGAGGTATGTTTAAAGTGCTCTGGATAAGCCAGAGAGAATGCATAGAAAGACCACATAGAGACAGGAGGAGATGCCTGAGGACCCCCAGCTATTTTAGCTCCCCACTGTTTAGGTCTCTTCAGCATCAATCTCTGGACAGCTTCTGGACAGGTGAGTGAGCAATTGTCTTAGTCTGTGTTCTGCTACTATAACAGAATATCATAGACTGGGTAATTTCTAGAGAAAAGAAATTTATAAAGAAAAGAAATTGGCCGGGCGCGGTAGTTCACACCTGTAATCCCAGTACTTTGGGAGGCCGAGGTGGGCGGATCATGAGGTCAGGAGATCGAGACCATCCTGGCTAACACCGTGAAACCCCATCTCTACTAAAAAAAATACAAAAAGTTAGCCAGGCGTGGTGGTGGGTGCCTGTAATCCCAGGTACGCAGGAGGCTGAGGCAGGAGAATGGCGTGAACCCAGGAGGCGAAGCTTGCAGTGAGTGGAGATGCGCCACTGCACTCCAGCCTGGGAGACAGAGATTCTGTCTCAAAAAAAAAAAAAAGAAAGAAAAGAAATTTATTTCTTACAGTTCTAGAGGCTGGGAAGTCCAATATCAGGGTGCCAGTGTCTGGCAAGGGCCTTCCTGCTGCATCATAACATGGTGGAGGGCATCACATGATGAAAGGGCAAGAATATGTGTGTCAGCTCAGGCCTCTCCTCCTCTGCTCATAAAGCCACCAGTCCCATCATGGGGGCTGCACCCTGATGACTTTATCTAATCCTAATTACCTCCTAAAGGCCCCACATCCAAATACCATCAACATATGAACTTGGAGATCTAAGTTTCCAGTACATGAAATTTGGGGGACACATTCAAACCATGCAGTAATCCTTCAGGTGATTCCAGCCCCAGCCTGAAGTGGAGCCAGAGGGCATCCCCCAAGCTCTGCACAAATTACAGACTTGTGAATAAAGTACATGTTGTTTTAAGCTAAAAACTGAAAAGATTTTAAAAAGTGCTATGAGGACCCAGTGAAGGAGCAAATAAGTCTGCAGGGCAGAGAGACAGGAAGAAGAGTGGGAAAAGCTCCAGAGATTGTTAGGCTGTGGCCACATGTGAGGTTCAGGGCATTCGCTCACTTGAAAAGATATGCCAAATTGTGTGTACGTGTCTGTGCATTCTTTTTTTTGAGAAAAGGGCCTGTTACTCTCAGCAGATTCTCAGAGATGTTCATAATCCACAAAGGGTCGCATCTATTGCCTTGAAAGGATCAGAGACAATTGCCAGGACGACAAAGAATGGAAAAAGAGCTGCAAAGCTATCAAGGCATTGGAGTCTGGTTTGGCAAAAACATAGGTTAGGCCTGACTGGAGATTCACATTTACTCACTTAATCATTCTTTCGTTCAACAAATAATTTACTGAACACCTAGTGCAGATCAGGCATTGTGCTGGGCATCTGAAACACAATGGGGAACATGATCGTTTGTCCTTTTCAAGAACTCGCAGGCTCCAGACACTTCCCCAGAAGGTTTTCCTAATCCCCAAATCCCTTCCCACTGTTCTATAAAATGAGTCTGTCATTCCTCCTCTAAGTGTTTTGGGTTCCATTTTCTTCTCTCCTGGCAACCGAAACCCTTAGAGGGTTTACATATATATATATATTTTTTTATTTTTATTTTTTAGACAGAGTCTCACTCTGTCACCCAGGCTGGAGTGCAGTGACACAATCTCGGCTCACTGCAAACTCCACCTCTGGGGTTCAAGCAATTCTCCTGCCTCAACCTCCTGAGTAGCTGGGATTACAGGCATGTGCCACCACACCTGGCTGATTTTTGTATTTTTAGTAGAGACCTGGAGTCAACATGTTGGCCAGGCTGGTCTCAAACTCCTGACCTCAAGTGATCCACCCACGTCGGCCTCCCAAAGTACTGGGACTACAGGCGTGAGCCACCGTGCCTGGCCAAAAAAAAAAAAAAAAAGATTTGCAAAGCAGTCAACAAGATACAAGTGACTAAAACTCTCCCAGGAATTAATTTTATAAGCTCATTTTGGTCTTTTCTCAATCAGCATGAAATTACCATGATTTCTTTCTTGAGAAAGAAATAAATCCCCTCAAGGAATAAAAAGACTTCTTTCTAAGTTGAGAACCTGAGGGTGGACATAGCTAACATGTAAAGCTGGAGAAAGGAGTTAGCCATGGGATAGGAGGTGCTTTTACTTGCCTATAATTTCAATTTGAATCTTGGTGGTGTGCAAACAGCATCTCTCAGCACTCTAAATCTCCAAAAACCCAGGCACCTTTGAAGACATGAATTAGCCAAAGAGCTAACTTGCTTTCCTTACCTCCTTTGTCCTTTCCCCTCCCTCTCCCTTCTCTTCCTTTCCGTTTCTCTTGCTTTCAAAATTATTCTCAAGACATACAGAAAAGTTTTATCCTGCAGTTTTGAACTCAATTCTTTTTTTTTTTTTTTTTTTTTTTTTTTTTTTTTTTTTTTTTGAGACAGAGTCTCACTCTGTGGCCCAGACTGGAATGCAGTGGCACGATCTTGGCTCTCTGCAACCTCTACCTCCTGGATTCAAGCAATTTTCCTGCCTCCGCCTCCTGAGTAGCTGGGACTACAGGTGCCCACCACCACGCCCAGCACATTTTTGTATTTTAGTAGAGACAGGGTTTCACCATGTTGGCCAGGCTGGTCTCGAACTCCTGACCTCAGGTGATCTGCCTGACTCGGTCTCCTAAAGTGCTTGGATTACAGACATGAGTGACCACACCTGGCCTCAATTCTTGTTTTTTTTTTTTTTTTTTTTTTTAATCACTGACTCACAGTTCCACGTACTGTATCTCAGATTTTTCATCTCTGAAATGGGTATGATCATACAAGAAAACAACATTTGTGGATATTTTAAGGATTTGGGGTGTTTTGTTTTGTAGAGGTTACACACACACACACATATCTGATTAGCCTCTAGGCAGAGTGGGGACACAGAAACTTCCTCACAACAATCTAAGCAGAGAACATCTTCTTCCTTTACCTGCTGGTGCATTTGTCAATATATTTGGTTGAATTAATCTGCTTAATAATCTAGCCTGCAGCTACCTCAGACTCACTCTTGAAACACAAAACACAACCTTCTCTTTCAGGCAAGGTGCTTCCAACTCCTGGTAGTTATGAGTAGTGGGAAAAGAAGAAATGCATTTTGCTGCATGTTTTGTTCCCAGGACACAGGTTCAAGCTTGCCCTTCACCCCCAAGCAAGTTTTATTCTCTGGAAATCTTCCTTGAACATTGGCAGGCTCAGAGAATCTCTGTTCTCGATGAGCTATAAACTGGCATTTCTGGCCTGATGAGAAGTTTGTTATTGTCTAGATGTTGCTCATAAAATGGATTTGTTGTGGAGAAAGTCTGTCTGTGTTGGAGGGGAAGGCAGAGATGTCAGGGGAAAGAACGAATTCATGCAGCCTTGTGGTGAAATAGCAAAAAGAAACCTCACGGCTCTGAGTTCAAAAGCCAACCCTACTTAAAGATTTTGTGCTTTCGTAAATATTGCTTTCATAAATATTTTGTAATGTGTCTCTGTTGTTTTTGCCTGCCAAGGGGCCAATCTCCTTGCTTCTGGAAGGAGCAACCCAGTTTTGCTTTGGAATCTGTCCTCCCACTATCGTATATCATCTTGGTAGAATCATTAACCAAAGTGTCTTGTCCTCCTCTGGCCAAGAGGTAAGCCCATGACTGTGACTAGACCATATATCTCCTCCCAGAAATTTGAGTCTTGAAGGACCCCATGGGCATGGAGCTAATTTGTCCAGTCATCTATGTCCTGAAGAGACTGTTTCTTAGTTCTCCCGTGATATGGTTTGGCTCTGTGTCCCCACCCAAATCCCATCTTGAATTGTACTCCCATAATTCCCACATGTTGTGGGAGGGACCCAGAGGGAGATAACTGAATCATGGGGGCGGCTCCCCCATACTGTTCTCGTGGTAGTGAATAAGATGTGTGAATGAGATCTGATGGTTTGATAAGGGGAAATCCGTTTCGCTTCGTTTCTCATTCTCTCTTTTCCTGCCTCCATCCATGTAAGACATGACTTGCTCCTCTTTGCCTTCCACCATGATTGTGAGGCCTCCACATCCATGTGGAACTGTAAGTCCATTAAACCTCTTTCTTTTGTAAATTGCCCAGTCTCGAGTATGTCTTTATCAGCAGTGTGAAAACAGACTAAGACACCCTGGATCTCCAGAGTTTCTGTGGTCTCTGTCCCTTTTGAGGACTATTCTTTGGCTATTACTTCTTTTTGGTGAATTCCCCTAGGCCCTTCCAATATGTTCCTTTTTTAAATTTTTCTTTCTTAAGTTATCAGGGTGAACTTCTTCTGATTCTGGCCATGATGAAGGAATTGGTACCAAAGTTGTTTTCCAGCTGTACACAACTGGAAAGCCAGACCAAAGATATAAAACAATTGTTTTTCAGAGATTGGGCCACAGGTAGTGTAGAACTATGAGGCCTGAAAGAAGGGATGCAAATCAAGTGAGCCCAGTGATCACCCTGGCTTTCTGCCTGGAAGAGCTTTTTAGACTGCAGCACAGGGAGGAGGATCCCATGCAGAGCACAGTGGCCTCTCTGAGTTGAAGAGAGAGATTATAATATATGGAGGTTGAAAAGGCTGAAATTTGTGACGCAAAGTCCCAGGCAAGATGGTGTTATATGGACACATAGTGCCAGAAATCTGCACAGGGGACCACTTGAGTCACTGGCTAAATACTAAGTTGCTCAGATATTGGGTAAAATGATACAAGACTGTCAAGGAACTGCTATTGGAGAGGTATAAGCTGAATAATTCCAAGAGCTCTCATGGGACTGGGGGACATTCAAATCTTAGCAAGCCAGAATGGGAATAATTTGTTGAACATCCAAGGCATTCATTAGAGACCACTGTGAGGCTACACCTTTCTTGTAGGCCTAAGCCAGCTTTAGATAAGAAGCTTCTCTAGAGCCACTGCAATAAAGCTTAAAAAAAAGCCTTAAAAAAAAAAAATCAAGCTGGTCAATGAGTAACTCAATTGCCTCCCAAAACAAACATCAAAGGAAAATAACAAAACCCAGGCACTCAGCTGCACAGCATCTACATTGTCTAGCATCCAATGAAAACTTACTAGACATCTAGAGAAGCAGGAAAATGTGACCCATTATCATGAAAAATACCAGTCAATATAAACAGACCCCAAATGACAAAGATGATGTAATTAACTGACAAAGATTTTAAAAGTTATTATAAATATGTTCATAGATCTAAAGAATATAAACATAGTGAAAAGTGGAAGCTATAAAAAAAGAACCAAATGTATCTTCTGGAGATAAAAAATACAATATCTAAAATAAAAATTTGCTGGGTGTGGTGGCATGCACCTTTAGTCCCAGCTACTTTGGAGGCTGAGGTGGGAGAATTGCTTGAACCCAGGAGTTTGGGGCCAGCCTGGGCAACACAGCAAGATCCCATTTGTTAAAAAATAAAATAATAATTTACTAGATGAGTTTAACAGCATATTAAAGACTGCAGAAGAAAAAAAAATCAGTAAATCCAATGACATAATAATAGAAGTTATTCACATTAAAGAACCAGGAGAAACAAGGGCCAAAAAAATAAATAATCAGAGTGTCAGGGGCCTATGCAACAATAACAGAAGATCTATCCTACGAATAATTGCAGTTCCAGGAGGAGAGGATGAAAATAAAACCCTGAAATAATAATGGCTAAAAATGTTCCAAAGTTGATAAAAACTATAAAGTTACAGATCCAAGAAGCTCAGCAAAGCCCAGGCAAGATAAACACAAAGAAAAGAACATCAAGGCACATCTTAATCAAATTGTTTAAAACCAGCAATAAAGACCAAAATCTTAAAAGCAGCCAAGGTAAAAATACATATTACATACAAAGAACCAAGATAAGAATTATCACTGATTACTCCTTAGAAACAATGCAACACAGAAGACAATGGAATAACACCCTTAATGCATTACATTTGAAAACAAAAACAAAACTGTCAACCAAAAGTCTGTGTCCAGTGAAAATATATTTTTTAAATGAAGGTGAAAGAATGTTTTACTGACAAAAAGTGGTAGAATTTATTACCGGTAGACCTACACCATATGAAATATTAAAAGAAGTTCTTTACCAGGTGTGGTGGCTCATGCCTGTAATCCCAGCACTTTGGGAGGCCGAGGTGGGCAGATCACCTGAGGTTAGGAGTTTGAGATCAGCCTGACCGACATGGAGAAACCCCGTACTAAAAAAATACAAAATTAACCAGGCATGGTGGTGCAGGCCTGTAATCCCAGCTACTCGAGAGGCTGAGGCAGAAGAATCGCTTGAACCTAGGAGGCAGGGGTTGTGGTAAGCCGAGATCGCGCCATTGCACTCTAGCCTGGACAACAAGAGCGAAACTCCATCTCAAATAAAATAAAATAAAATAAAGTTCTTGTTTGGGCTGAGCAAAAATAATACAGGGTGAAAACTCAGATTTATTTAAGAAATGAAGAATGCCAGAAATCATAAATAAGTGAGTAGATATAAAATGCTTCTGTATCTTTGAAATTTTTTCAAGTTTTGCCAAGTCAGACTTTCTAGGTGTTTTACAATCCAGAATCAAGACACAGAAACGAGGAGCTATATAGTATTTCAGATACCAGCTCATCTCTGAAGCAACTGTGAGAAAATGCCAACATCTGTCAGTTATGGAGAGCAAATACATAGTTAATTGTCATAGTCACTTTTGTAATCAGCTATACATTTGAAAGTTTAAAAAATACCAACTCTTTTATGGTACAGATTGGCCACTCAAAGCCTTGAGATTTATGTGACTTTCCCAAGGCATGCACCAAGCACATCATCGTTCTACCTTCCCAGGGCTACATGGATCAGACGACAGCCCTGGACTTACTAGTGATTTTATGCAAGTGATTAAGTTACTCTAAGCCTCAGTTTCTTCTCATAAAATAGGGATAAGAGGTCTACCTCCTGCTCAGATTATCACATAAGACACTGCATGAGTCAGGATGCCTTTGTTTACAAGTGATCAACTCAAACTGTCTTAAACATAAAGATTTATTGTTTCACGGAACTTGCGAGTTTGGAGCTACGGATGGTTTCAGGCACAGGTGGATCCAGGGATACAAATATTGTTGTCAGGACTCTCCCACTATCTTTTATCTCTGCTTTCTGGGGTTTTGGCATCGGTCTCAGGCAGCCTCTCCCTAGGTAGCAGCAGAGATGCTCCACGCTCATATCCCACCACATAGTGGAACCAAGAGAAAGTGAATTTCTTTTCCCTACGAGTTTCGGCAACTATTTGCTCTGATGGACCCACTTTGGATCACATTCCCATCCCTGAACTGAGCTGAGTCTGACTGGTCAGGTCTGGGTGATATACCCTCTCCTGGAATGAGGGGGTGGAAGAGAGATGGTCTCCCGAAGGCAAGCCAGGATGCTGAAGCAAAAGATAGTGTCATAGATGCTGACAGGGAAAAACAATAGCCTTACTACACTTGTGTAAAGCACTGGACAATAAGAAGCACAGAGTCCAGCCTCGTTCAAGAACAGCTTTGCATGTACTTGCTCCATCCTTACAACAACTGTGTAAGGGAAGTTTTCTAATTATCTCCATTGGACAGATGAGGAGACAGAGGCCCAGGGAGGGTAAATACCTTACCCCAGGCCACACAGCTAGTAAGGGGCAGAACCAGGATCCAGCTGCCTCAGTGAATGGCTAATGGCTGCTGGTTAATGAGGTCACACTCCTGGCCTGTGGCCAAGACTTATCTACAACCAGGGACCCTCGACTCCTCCCTTAGTCTCGGGAGTCCTCAAGGCCCCATCCTGCTTCCTGATCGTTATGAAGTCTGGGGAAAGGGAAACTCGGTGTCCACGCAAACAAGATGCTGTGAATGTTTTCAGCCCAGACAAGGGGAAGGAGATGGCCAGGGGAGGACCTGGTAAACAGAAGCCTGGGGTGGCTCTGTTAGTTTCTTATGAGTGCCCTAATATCCTTGGTTTGTAGCTGCAAAACTCCAATCCTCACTTCCAAGTTCCTCTGGGACTTCCTCTCTGTGTGTCTAATCTACCCATCTACCTCTGCCACACTTTTTTTTTTTTATTTTGAGACAGGGTCTCACTTGGTCACCCAGGCTGGAGTACAGTGGTGCCATCATAGCTCACTGCAGCCTCGAACTTCTGGGCTCAAGAGATCCTCCTGTCTCAGCCTCACAAGTAGCTGGGACCACAGGCACACACCACTGTCCCCCACAGCTTTTTTTCTGAGATGGAGTCGTGCTCTGTTGCCCAAGCTGGAGTACAGTGGCACAATCTCAGCTCACTGCAACCTCTGCTTCCCGGATTCAAGTGATTCTTGTGTCTCAGCCTCCCAAGTAGCGGGGACTACAGGCATACACTACCATGCCCAGCTAATTTTTGTAGTTTTAGTAGAGATGGGGTTAAGCCATATTGGGCAAGCTGGTCTTGAACTCCTGGCCTCAAGTGACCTGCCCACCTTGGACTCCCAAGGTGCTGGGATTAGAGGTGTAAGCCACTATGCCCAGCCTTTTTTTTTTTTTAAACTATTTGTAGAAACAGGGTCTCCCTATGTTGCCCAAGCTGGATCTGCCTTCCTTTTATAAGGATACCTGTCATTGGATTTGAGGTCCACCCAGGTAGTCTAGGATGATTCAATCTTGAGATCCTAAAATTAATTTACACCTGCAAAGATCCTTTCTCCATTAAGGTCACATTCACAGGTGCTGCAGCACATTAGACTGTGGACATATCTTTTCTTTTTTTGGTGGAGGTGTGACTGGGGAGACACTATTAAACCCACTACAGTGTAAAAGTAGGCCAGATGTGATGGTTCACACCTGTAATCCCAAGACTTTGGGAGGCCGAGGTGGGCGGATCACTTGAGGTCAGGAGTTCGAGACCAGCCTGGCCAACATGGCGAAACCTCGTCTCTACTAAAAATACAAAAATTAGCTGGGCGTGGTGGCGCACCTGTAATCCCAGCTAGTCGGAAGGCTGAGGCAGGAGAATCACTTGAACCCAGGAGGCAGAGGTTGCAGCGAGCCGAGAGCGCGCCACTGCATTCCAGCCTGGGCGACAGAGGAAGACTCTATCTAAATATATATATATACATATACATACATATATATATATATATATATATATATATATATATATATATATATATATATATAGCCAAACTTAGCTTTATTTCAGAGCCGTTGCTGGGCCTGGGAGTGGAGAGAGATCAGGAGAGCGCCACCAGCTTGGATCGGTTAGTGAGCTGCGGTGGTTTTTGTTTTTGTTTTTTTTTTCTTGACAGTGTCTCCTATTGTTTTGTATTTCTCTTTTGTTTTGAGGTTTTCTGCCATCTTTTCTGGAAGGTGCATGATGCTCAGCTCTGTGGTTATTTTTGCCCAACAGCTGTGTTTCCGGTGAGCGGCTGTGGGATTCTTCTGACTCAGCAAAACTGGAGCAGTAACCGTCAAGAAGCCATTCAAGCAAGGCTAGAAATAAAGAAGCTGTTTCTTCACCGTCCCCTCCTCCTCCTCTCACTTCCCTCCCCATGGGTACCTTTTGAAAGTCTCACAAAGCACTTTGAAAAAACTACTTGGACCAGTATGCTGGAGGGTTGACTGAAGGTGGCCCCTCCGCTGGGCTTTAAGCAAACAGATAAATTCTGGAAAGGACTCTGCCCTGCCAGCCTGGCTGTGGCCTTCGGAAGGCCCCTCCCAACATGCCCCCACCCGCCGATCACATGGACTGTGTCTTACAAGTTTCCCACAGGTCTGACTAGTGAAAGCAGAGGCTGTGGGGACTTTTGTGGTTTTTCTAGGGTGTGGCCCCACTTTGCCTTCACCAGGCCTGAGTATCTATGCCGTGCAGCTTGCCTGCTTCTCAAAGGTCATGATTTCCACCCTGGGGCTGGGAGGCAGCTACATATTCCTACCCGCTGGCACAGGATCTGGCCCTGCACTCCCGAGAGGTGGCTGCGAGCCTTGCGGAGGCAGAGAGAGAACAAAATGGAAAGGAATCTTCCTCCCGGAGAGCCATCTTCTGTGCATGCCGGTGCCTGCAAAAGACAGGCGAGGCGAGACAGCTGCACCTCGGGCCTCGTCGCTGTTGCTGAGAAAGAAAGGAACAAATAAATTTAGCTCCATCCTACGCATCCTTTGCAGCTGCTGATTGACCAAACAGAAAGAGGCCTCTATTTCAACCCTGGCTTCTCAGCTTTTTGCCTGATGGGGTCTGCTATCGCCCTTTACAAGGGACTTTTGAAGGAGGAAACGGGCCGTGGCCTTATTTAGCGCCTGGCCGGCTGGAGGCTGCACAGACAGGAGTTCAAGTTTAGGGTGTCTCTTCTTGCCCATCCCAAAGCAAAATGGTGGCCCGGAAACGTTTCCAAATGGGCTTCGGCTCCTGGAATTTCCAATGTATTTATTTGGAAGCCAGAACATGGTGGGTGGAGAGATGTGTAACTGTGCCGAGGCCAGCCTATAGCTCCCGAAGCCATTAGTTTAATAGCACCATTTGTGGAAATAAAGAACTCGCTGACTGGGCTTGAAGGTAAAAGACTGGAACGAAGCACTGAGGGGGTTTCGTGGGGCTCACTAGCGTGGAGAGGTCCCTGCGGGATGGGGGACAAGCTGTGTGGACTTTGAGTCAGATAGACTTGGGTTCCAGTCCTAGCTCTATCACCTAAAGGCACGTTGTCTCTGGACAAAGAGAGCCTTTGCTCTGTGATATGTAAGTGAAATGCTAGCTGTGACACTGAACCTCTCTGAGCCTCAGTTCCTTATCTGTAAAACAGCAATGATGACACGAGGTCGTCACAAGGATTAAATGACAAAGAATACTGAACCTACATAGCCCAGCTCTTGCTGTGCCATGATGGTGTAGAGTGGCCCCTGTTTGACCTGCCCAGGCCCATTCTCCAAAGAAGCTGTACAGGTGAGGTGGCTCACCCCTGTAATCCCAGTACTTTGGGAGGCCGAGAAGGGAGGATCACTTGAGCCCAGGAGTTTGAGGCCAGCCTGGGCAACATAGAGAGACCCCATCTCTGCAAAAAAATAAAAAAAATTAGCTGGGTGTGGCGGTGCACGCCTGTGGTCCCAGCTACACAGGAGGCTAAGGTGGGAGGATCCCTTGAGCCCAAGAGGTCCAGGCTGCAGCCTGGGTGACAGAGCAAGACCCTGTCTCTAAAAAAAAAAAAAAAAAAAAAAAATAGAAGGTGTTTCTTCCCCAATCCTCTCCTTTCATTTCCCTCCCCGTGAGTACTATTTGGAAGTCTCACACGGCACTTTTTAAAAACCACTTTAAGTCCGGGTGCAGTGGCTCATGCCTGTAATCCCAGTACTTTGGGAGGCCAGGGTGGGTGGATTACTTGAGATCAGGAGTTCAAAACCAGCCTGGCCAACATGGTGAAGCCTCATCTCTACCAAAAATACAAAAATTAGCGGGACACGGTGGCACATGCCTGTAGTCCCAGCTACTCAGGAGGCTGAGGCAGGAGAATCGCTTGAACCCGGGAGGTGGAGGTTGCAGTGAGCCGAGATTGTACTACTGCCCTCTAGTATGGGTGGCAGAGTGAGACCCTGTCTCAAACAATAACAACACTTTAACCAGTATCCGGGAGGGCTGCTGAAGGTGGCCTCTGCTAGGCTTTACACAAGCAGATGGGTTCTGGAAAGGACTCCACCAAACCAGCCTGGCTTTGCCTTTGGAAGGCCCCTCCCAAGATGCCCCCACTCGCCACTCACATGGACTGGGACTCTGTCTTACAAGTTTCCCACTGGCCTGAGCAGAAGGTGGGAGGAATTTCTGTGGTTTTCTAGGTTGGCCACAGAATACTACTCTTCCTCCTCCCACTCTTTTTTCCGTAAGATTTGGGGCTCAACTTACTCTCAAACTCTGGAAGTGAGGAGGTGGCCCAGGCCTGATCATGGGGTCTCATATGCCCCTGGCCATAGTGATTCATTTCTGGAAACATCCCTGGGACTCAAGCTGGGACAATCAGAGTGAATTTCAGGAATGTTGGATGAATCTCTTAGGAGGGAGGAAATCTTTCTGCTGGATTTCTAAAAGCTCAAGTTTTACACTCAGTGCTGCCATTGGCTCTCTTTGTATAATGGAAGGAAGAGTTGTTCAGAGAATGAAGCTAACAGAGATGAAACCAAAAATGGAGAGATCATATGCTGATGACCATTTGAGCCCCTTGATCCCGCCATGCCTGAAGCCATCACCCCTTCAACTTGCTAGTTATGTGAGTCAATATGGTTCCTTTTTGGTTTGACCTAGTCTGAATTAGGCTTTTGTCTCTTGCAGCTAGAAGAGTCCTAAGTCATACCAGCTTCATAAACCTTTGGAATCTGAATTTACCTGTGGCCTCATCCAGAACTGTGAGGCAGGCCGATGACACTCAGTGCCACCTGCAGTAGTGGAGAGTCTGTGGTGAGACTCTACCTTCTGGCACGCTGATTTCCCTTAGACCCCTCTTGTGGACAGGAAGGCAAAACAATGAGAGAAGGGAAAGAAAAAAGGGGGGAAAAAAAGGGAGCGGGTTTCCTAGTAAAGTAGATTGGGCTTGAATCTCTTCTTTGTCACTCATGAGCTCTGAGACCTTAGGCAAGTGACTAACTCCCTGGGGCCCCCATTTTCTCACCTGTGGGACTTGAGTTGCAGTGAGCATATATGGGTACTAGATTCTAAAGTCAAGGTGAAGGAAAACATTTCCGTGAAAATCCCTTAACTCCGCCCCCTTCCACAAGGTATGGCACAGCCACAAGTCAGCAAATTGTCGTAATGTCAGAGACTTGTGAACAAGAGCAACTCCATCTTGAATAGGAGCTGGGTAAAAAGGGCTGCATTCCCGATGATTAAGACATTCTAAGTCACAGGATGAGATAGGAGGTCAACAAAAGATACAGGTCATAAAGACCTTGCTGATAAAACAGGTTGCAGTAAGATGCCAGCTAAAACCCACCAAAACCAAGATGGTGACCAGAGTGACCTCTGGTCATCCTCACTGCTACACTCCCACCAGCACCATGACAGTTTACAAATGCCATGGCAACGTCAGGAGGTTACCCTATATGGTCTAAAAAGGGGAGGCATGAATAATCCACCCCTTGTTTAGCACATCATCAAGAAATAACCATAAAAATGGGCAACCAGCAGCCCTTGGGGCTGTTCTGCCTATGGAGTAGCCATTCTTTGATTCCTTTACTTTCTCAATAAACTTGCATTCACTTTATGGACTTGCCCTGAATTCTTTCTTGAGCAAGATCCAAGAATCCTCTCTTGGGGTCTGGATTGGGACCACTTTCCTGTAACAATAATACTATCATCATAATGCAGCCATTTACCCACCTCCCCATCCTCCCCATCCCCCACCTCCAATCCTGCTCCTTAGTTGAGCACCAATAAATATGCATTTTAATAAATATGCATTTTAAACTCTAGATGAGTGATTCTCAGCCAGGGTGATTTTGCCCCTCAGGGGATGTGTGGCAGCACCTGAAGACATTTTTGGTTGTCATAACTAGGGGTAGGAATAAACGCTCCTGGCATCTAGTGGATGGAGGCCAGAGATGCCTCGAAACATCCTCCAACACACTAGACAGTCCCCACAACTAATAATGATCCAACCCAGAATGTCAGTAGCGCCAAGGCTGAGAAATCCTCAGCTAGAATCCCACTCAGCACAGAGAGCTGCTCATTCTAGGAAAGGCTGCCAGGATTGGAGACAACGAGAACAGATCCATATATTCCATTTCCATGCTTCCCGTGTGGCAAGTTCGCACGGGGACACGACAGGTCTACCCCCTTTCAATGAGGATTTTTCTCCTTTCCTTTTGGCCAACTGCAGTTAGTTGAATTTATGTAAGTTTAATGCATGCATTATGTAAGTTAAATGCATGCATGGTATAAAAGTTAAATGCATGCATGCAATCCATGTGGCAATGCTGTTTCCACCTCACAGCATTACCCTGAGCATCAGAGGAGGTCTCAACAGAATGTGCTTTGCACAAGGTGAACCCTTAAGCCTTTGCACTGACTACTTTTATTAGTTTCACTTGGTGCATGCCACATGCACAGTACATACTCAATCCAGCCTTGCTGAATGGGCTTCAATTGATAGAGTTTTCTGGGCCTTGTGTGAGAGGAGGTAACAACTCCAAGGAGATCTGGATGCACAATTCTTTCTTTTTTTTTTTTTTTTTTTTTGAGATGGAGTCTCAACTCTGCCACCCAGGCTGAAGTGCAGTGGCACGATCTCAACTCACTGAAACCTCCGCCTCCTGGGTTCAAGTGATTCTCCTGCCTCAGCCTCCCAAGAAGCTGGGACTACAGGCGTGCGTCACCACACCCGGCTAATTATTATATATTTTTGGTAGAGACAGAGTTTCACCATGTTGGCAAGGATGGTCTTAAACTCCTGACCTCAAGTGATCCACTCACCTCAGCCTCCCAAAGTGCTGGGATTACAGGCACGAGCCACCGTGCCTGGCTTCGATGCACAGTTCTTGTCTGAACTTCCAGGCATCCTCCTTCTGCCACCTGCTTCAATAGCTGCCACCTTTCTAATGCTTTCTACAGCCCTTGGCCCCAACTGCAGAGAGCACAGGATCAATTGTGCTGGGAGATCACCCTCTGGGGCTCAGCTCCAGCTCCTGCGCTTGACTCTGATCCCATCACTTTACCTCCTTGGAGTCTCAGTTTCCCTGCCAGTAAAACAGTTCCTATTCCTACAGCTCTGTACAAGATTATGGGGCTCCTGCTGACTGTAAGCCCCATATCAAACTTAGAAACTGGCACCCCAGGGGTTCAGATGCAGCCTACAGCCTGAATCCATTTGGCTGACATGTTTTTCCTTATATATTTGAATTACATTTTCCAGTTTTTTAAAAATTGAGGTGAAATCGACATAATATAAAATTAAGCATTTTATTTATTACCTTTTTTTTTTTTTTCTCCCAATAGAGACAGGCTCTTGCTATGTTTCCCAGGCTGGTCTTGAACTGGCCTCAAGTGATCCTCCTGACTCAGCCTCCCAAAGTTCTGGGATAACAGGCATAAGCCACTGCACCTGGCAAAAATTAAGCATTGTTTGTTTGTTTTTGTTTTGTTTTTCTTTTTTTTTTTTTTTAAGACCAACTCTCACTCTGTCACCCAGGCTGGAGTGTAGTGACGCGATCTTGGCTCACTGCAACCTCCACCTCCTGGGTTCAAGAGATTTTCCTGCCTCAGCCTCCTGAGTAGCTGGGATTACAGGCATGTACCACCATGCCTGGCTAATTTTTGTATTTTTAGTAGAGATGGGGTTTCACCATGTTGGCCAGGCTGGTCTCAAACTCCTGACCTCAAGTGATCCTTCTGCCTCGGCCTCCCAAAGTTCTGGGATAACAGGCATGAGCCACTGTGCCTGGCAAAAATTCAGCATTTTAAAGTGAACAATTCAGTGGCATTTAGAATATTCACAATCTTGTGTAACCATCGCCTCTATCTGGTTCCAAAACACTTTCACTACTCCAAAAGGAAACCCATTACCCAGCACTTATTCACTCCCATACCCTCATCCCTCCAACTCCTGGCAACCCTCTCGTCAGCTGTCCGTCTATGGATTTGCCTATTCTGGACATTTCATATAAATGGAATCATACAATGTATGACTTTTAGTGTCTGGCTTCATTCACTTGGCATAACCTTTTCAAGATTCAGTTACATTGCAGCATACATGATGACAGACATTTGGGTTGTTTCCACCTCCTGGTGATCATGAACTGCGCTGCTAGGAACATGCATGTAGATGTACTTGTCTTCATGTAGAGTACCTGCTTTCAATTCTTTTGGGCATATACCTAGGAGTGGAATTGCTGGGTTATATGATAAGGCTATGTTTAACTTCCTGAGGAACCTCCAAACTTTTCCACAGTGAGTGGGTCACCTTACTTTCCTACCAGCAATGTACAAGGGTTCCAACTGCTCCACTTCCTCATCAAAATTTCGTATTTTCCATTCTATTTTATTATAGCTATCCTAGTGCGTGTGATGTGGTACCTCATTGTCGTTCAGTTAGATTTTACTATGTCAAATAAAAAGATTTCCAATAAAAATCCAGTTTCACAGTTTCTCTTGGAAAAGGAAGTATCTGTCAACATCGGGACCACATTCGGGCGGAGGCATCCTCTGAAGCTACCAGGCAGCAGCCCTCCCATGGAGCTGGGACGTCCCTTTCCTGTCCTCCCCAAGCCCTACCCCTCTGATGTCTCCCCCATGGCTGAGTTGGCTACCACTTCTCATCACACGCCGCTATTGTTTTTCTTAGAGAAGAAGCCAGCCCCCGTGTCTCCATCAAAAGGGAGGAAAAGAAATAGAGACTTGGGGGGGCCCTGGGTTTCTTAAATATAGAAAGGCCCATCATTATTTGTGGAAGTGTTTAGTATGCGCCTGGGTCATTCGCTCATTTCCGCCACCTGGTCCCTGTGGGCGTCTGAGTGGGTGACACACACACAGCCAGCCCTGTCCCCACTCCTTCCTCAGCGGGGCCATGCGGACCGTACCCTTCTCCTTCTCCCCAGGCGGATGCACTTGGTCCAGCCTGGGCTCTCCTGGGGGCTTATTAACCATCCGTTCCTTCTGCTCGGCCCTGCCTGCTTAATTCTTGACTTGCACAGCTCCAATTCCCCTCCACGTCTGGGCTTAGGGCGGTTTTCTCCGCACTCTTTCTTGAAGCTCAGCGTGGATCAAGGGGCCCTGCTGCGCATGCTCACAGAACCTGGACTCCGCCCAGCCCTGGGCGCCACTGTCACTCATTAATCCCTTTCCTGATTCCTCCCCTCTTTGCAAAATTTGGACCCCGGGTGGGCGCCTTCGTAGAATCACACTTCTCAGTTTATGCCACACATTCACTATTTGTCTGTTCAAGGCCCTCCTTGTGCCTTCTTGTATTATTTTTCGCCTGCGTCTGCTGTTAGCATTTCTCACTGCCTCCCACAGGCAGTGACTCCAGTATCTTCAAAATAAATCCTTCCAACCCACTTTCCAATGCTTATGAAACATATATAGTCTTGCTCTGTGAGTGTATATTTTAAATTTATGTCCATGGTATTGTGTCATCAATCTCAGTCTAGTTCCTACTTTTTTCATTTCACACTGTATTTTTAAGCTCTATCCATGATGATGTATGCAAATTCAGGGTATTGTGTATTATTTCATCATCTGCATGTTTCAAATCTGGCTGACTCATTTCCTCCAGTCATAGACATGTAGGTCACCTTGGGCTCCTTGCTGGGACAAACTTGGCCACCACCAACATTCTCACACACGTCCTCTTATGATCCTATTCAGGAGTTTCCCCAGGATACACACCCGGGAGAGGGGTTGCCATGTCACAGATTGTTATGGGTTGGATTGTGTCCCCTGCCAAAGATATGTTGACGTCCAAATTCCCAACACCTCAGAATGTGACTTTGTTGGGAAACAGGGTCATTGCAGATATAATTAGTTAAGAGGAGGTCATACTGGAGTAGAGTGGGCCCTTGATCCAATATGACTGGTGTCTTTCTAAGAAGAGGGAAAACAATGAGCGGACAGAGGCACACAGGGAGAAAGGCCATGTGGTGATGGAAGCAGAGAGTGAAGAGACACAGCTACAAGCCATGGAACACCAAGAATTTATGGCCACCATTGGAAGCTAGGAAGAAGCAAGGAAGGATTCTACCCAGGGACTTAGAGACAGCATGGCCCTTCTGGCCTGTATCTTAGGTCTGCATCTTTAAATTTCTCTGAACATCTGCAACTTAGAACTTTCTCTCAGTGATAAGTACTGGTAATGTGATTCATGTTCATATACAAACTATATTCACCCATTCATCTATCCATTCATCCATCCTTCTGTTCATCCATCCAGCCATTCCTTCCATTTTCATCCATCCATCTATCATGCATCATTTTATCCATCCATCCATCCATTCGTCTGTCCATCTATCCACCCATCCATCTGTTCATCCATCCATCTATCCATCCATCTATTCATCCAATCAGCCATCCCTCTATCATAACCATCTGTCTATCATCCACCCACTTACCCATCCATCATCCATCCATCTATCCCTCTGTCTATCCATCCATCTATTAATCTGTTAATCCATCCATTCATCTGTTCATCTATCCATCCATCCACTAATTCTACAAGTTCTTACTGAGTACCTGCTCGGTGCTGGAGCAGAACAAGATAAACAGGTCTTTGTCTTCATGGAACTCATCACTGGTAGGGAAGACAGACATTAAACTTAGTTAGGAGTTATGAGTAGGAATTAGTTATAGCCCATCACTGTGGCTCAC